>NC_000009.12:66923678-67089823 GCF_000001405.40 Homo sapiens | reverse complement strand
TGCCTTATATCCTAATTAAATATTAGCTGAATTGTAATTGATCTTACATTTTGATTTTGTGAAATATATATTGCCTTTACTCCAAAATTTACTAGACCACCTTCTTACGTATGGCAGTGGGCATTAGGTGGCTTGTGAATTTGAGAACTGCTCTATGGGGTTAGTGTCTGAGATTCATCAACTGAGCATGGAATAAGAAGAGAATAGCACTTTAAAGAACATTAACTGAGGACTTTGCTAAGCATTTATTTAATTAGGGAAAGCTTCAAAAGTTGAAGTTCAATCATGGGACTTTCAAAATAATCCAAGTGAGACATGAAGAGACTAAGCTGAGGGGGAGATCCATGGAAATGATGTATTAGAATCATAAGCATGAACTGTTTCAACAGACAATACACAGAATTTGGAAAAACGAGGGAGTGATATCTCTAAGATTTTTTTCCACAAATCAACATTCATACATATTATTTTGTATTCATATACTGTGATCTTCATGGAGTAAGGTGCTAATGTAAAAAAATTGATTATTGGAGTTTATAAAAGCAACTTTTGACCATTTTCTGTGTGTGTGTGTCTACATAGCAAACTTACTTCCTCAGAGAAGCAGAAACTCTTTGTCTTACTGACACTGGAATGTATCCTCTGTAGTTTTATTCCATGAAAAAGATAACTAGGCTGGGCGTGGTGGCTCACGCCTGTAATCCCAGCACTCTGGGAGGCCGAGAAAGGTGGATCACTAGGTCAGGAGATTGAGACCATCCTGGCTAACATGGTGAAACCCCGTCTCTACTAAAAATACAAAAAAAAAAAAAAAAAAAAAATTAGCCGGGCGTGGTGGTGGGTGCCTGTAGTCCCAGCTACTTGGGAGGCTGAGGCAGGAGAATGGCGTGAACCTGGGAGGTGGAGCTTGCAGTGAGCAGAGATCGTGCCACTGCACTCCAGCCTGGGTGACAGAGCGAGACTCTGTCTCAAAAAAAAAAAAAAAACCAACAGCAAAAAAAAAACAGATAACTAAGACTTTGGCCCTACAATATTTACACTCTGCATGGAAAACAACCCACCAAATATGTTTTCTGTACTTACTGAAAAACCACCAACTATGGTTTCATATTCACTGAATACAAGTAAATTAATGAAACATTTTCAGGACAATCAGGCACAGATTGCTATTTTTTCTATTGAGTTGAGATAATTATTTGTGCTAATAATAGAAAGAAAGTGTGTATCCACTCCTGGAAGGCTGTGTGCTGTGCTATAAGAGAAGCTGATGCCTCTGCTTCCCCATCTTTGTTCTGTGGAGCCACACAGGCAGCCTGATACCTGGGCAAATGCTTACCTGCCCAGATCCGAAGGGCTGGTGCACCCAGAGTCGTGGCTAGGTTGTGTGCAGCACAAATTCCCACCTCTAGTTTCCCTGCTTTACTCTTTTCCTAAGAAATCAGAATCTGAGCTTTTTCAAAATAACTGGAGAAGAAATGAGGCAGAAAGTATCTTTTTAAACACAATCCTCATTCACTCAGAAAATTGAGAAAAAAGTTCTAAGTGATAATTGATGTCAACCTGTAAAATTTTTCAACAGCTTGAGTGTCTATTTTCTCTACAATATTGTCATCAACTCATAACCAAATATCACAAATAGGCAGCATAATGGCCTCATTAGGGCAGTTTCCACAGTGACCCACATCATCAACAATGGCATGCATCTGTCATGCATCTTCCCAGAAAGTCCTAAAATTCTACAGGAAAAACCTCTTGGAAAGAAAGTTTCGAATGTTGATGAGGTCCACCCATATAGTTAATCTCTTCAGGTGAGAAGCTAGAAACATAAGACACTTCTTCGGTTTCATCCATTTTGTAAACTCATTTGCTGAAATGTTCTTCACAGTAATATCTGTGTTCACTGCATTGTTTCCAAGTATTTAAAATCCCTGAAGAAGTAAGTAATCCATGTGTTTTACGCCATTTCAACAGAAATGTCTTAGGCAATGTTTATCTTTGCTGCTTACAGATCCCCAAATAAGACAGCTTGCTTCATTAGTGAAGGCCCCTTGAAAAAATTCTCAAACTCTCCTTCGGTCTAATGCATGGTTAGTTATTGTACATTCATTTTGCAACTTTAAAAAGGAGCAATTGCAGAGGTCTCAAGCCACAAATAACAATGCTGTCTAACTTCGTTAGACCATGAAAACACATGGGTTATCCTTGCAAAAAAGCATATATATTTTTTAATTTATTGCAGTAGCATCTTGAATTACATCTATCATGAGAGAATATAAAATCTTTTTCATGTTTTTCACACACTGTCATAACTTATTATTGTTTTCCATTATCTTAATATTCTGCTGTCTAAGAGATGTAGCCCCTGGGTGACCTGAAAGTCTGGTGAAGCTAGTATGATCAGGGATATAATAAGACAGTGACCATCTATGGACCTTGGACACAATACTAGAGAGCATGATAGATGTGTGTGGGCCATAATGATGTTGATATTAATATGCTATTAATTCCTCTCTGACTCCAGTACATCATCTCCACCTTGTCTAGGTTTTGCATTTCCAAATACTTGCCCTTTCTCTCTTAATAATTCTCCTTAATATCCCACATTCCTTTAACCTGAGGTGGAAAACTCATAAGTGGGGAGGGAAATCCTAAAACTCACTAGGTGACACAATACACTAAAACATTCCAGCTTGGGTCAGCAGACATGTTACAGCTACAGACTCTTATGTTTTCTCTCTTTAGACCAAAGAGTTTATCTTACACTCATCATGTGTTGGTCTGTGAGCGGCCAAGACAACATTCAATGAGCAACCAGCAAACCCTCCCTTATGCTAGAATGCTTACTTATGGGGATACTAAAAACACTAGGTCTGTTATAGTTCTACTTGGAAACTTCAGATGCCTTTTCTTCTAACTCTGAAATTTTAATAAGATGGAAGAAGCACTTTCTGCATAATTGTTTATTTAAAACTAAATGCAATTCCAACCCAGAAGAGGCCTCTTTTGGACAAGACTAGTCAAGTTACAGATGAAGACAACAGTGTCTTAGCTGTCAGTGAGATAGCCCTCTTTGATCTTGGGGAATTCTGAAGGAATTTCTCATTTCAAAATAAGAATAAATACTTTTGGGTAAAGGGAGGAGAGAAAATTCTTCAGGTCACCTTCCATTTTTTCCTTATAAACAAATTACAATCAGTTGACCTCAGCCTAGCATTTTGATTAAAAATAACTCAAGACAGGACTGAAAGAAAACACCAAGAAGAGTGTTTTATCCTAATCTTAGAAAGGCATATTCATATGACAACCAGCATAAGAAGCAAGGAATCTGAATTACAGAAAAATAAACTTTAAACTGAAACTGCTAATATAATAAATGCAGAGGAGACACAGGGCAGCAAATGCACAAATAAATGTATGTCTTTAGCCAGTATGTGAATGATACCCAAAACGGCTGGTTTTCCATCTCAAACAGTCATGGAATAACAACTTCACAGTGTTTATTAATTGTTGAAATTGTCTAAAACAAGAGAATATATTTTCACAAATTCATCTGACACAGACACAGCTATAAGCACATGAGAAGACAGGCCTAAGGAAAAAGGTAAAATTAATTCACCTATGTCTGTATTTGTCAACTAAACAAAGCATCAATCCATTTATTATAAAGTATAATAAAACTAAGGACAACCATTGCATAATTAAATTGCCTCTGAAAGCCAATTATTGATTATGGAGAAAACCAAGTTTTACAACTGTATGTGTGTATCATATAAAGATTTCATTTCCTAATATAGATCATTCATTATTTATTTTGAAATGTTAAGAATTTACTATGTGCCAGTGTATCATTTGAATTCTCATATTTTAAACATTTTAAACTATAGGTTAATTTTCTGAAATTTTCAATTAGTGTCAGAAGAAGTTACAGAAAAAGGAATAACAAACATGTTTAAATAATTAAATGGTTTCAATGGCATCTCTGAATTTCTTTGATATTATTATCAAAATGTTTTCTTCAATTCTACTCAAAACCTTATTTTTTTGCCCTAAGTCTTTGTCAGCTTATTTCAGTCTTATTTTTACATGTAATATACCACAGAGTTCTTCTTAGCTTCAAGTGATGCAATGTGAAAGGTGTAGAAATGCACACTGACCCTTAGCCTCTTAAATTTACAACAGGTCGGCCAGGTGCGGTGGCTCACACCTTTGGGAGGCCGAGGTGGGCATACCACGAGGTCAGGACATTGAGACCATCCGGGCCAGCATGGTGAAACCCCTTCTCTACTAAAAATACAAAAATTAGCCTGGTGTGGTGGTGGGCACCTGCAGTTCCAGCTACTCGGGAGGCTGAGGCAGGTGAATCACTTGAGCCCAGGAGGCGGAGCTTGCAGTGAGCCGAGATTGCACCACTGCACTCCAGCCTGGCAACACAGCAAGACTCCATCTCGATAAATAAATAAATAAATAAATAAATAAATAAATAAATAAATTTACAACAAGTCACTTTATCCTCAAATTAGCCAATACCATGTTAGAGGTTATACTGAAATTCTAACTATGAAGATGTAGAAAGCAAAAACATATTTAATTAGTTATAATCCAATCTGTGCAATATTCATGATAATACATTTTTACAAGTTGAAAGTAATTCTGGATTATGCTTCATAACTTATGAAACCTTTGGTGGAAAAATTGAGTCTTCCCCATTAAAGGGAATTAAATAAGTTGCTTATAAAAGTGCATTAACTTGTTTGGCCCATGGGTTCATCATTTAGTGGCATGGAAGAACTAGTTTACTTGTGGTATCCAAGAGGCATGAAGAAAGACACCTCCAAAAAGTCCATTTTGACTCTTTACACTGGGACAGACGGGATGCATAGCTACCTTGTTCCCCTCTCACCCCTCAGGCTAAGGCTTGAGTAACTATCGCAGCTGTTTCCATGGCGTCTTCCCATCACATGGGAAGAAGGCACTGGGCTGCACAACAGGGAAACTACTTGTTTTCTGCCTGTTAATTTTTAGCTCTGAGATCTTTACACTCCACTGGAGAAAGGCTTTAATGTCTGAGACAGGGGGTCATTATTTGTTAGTTTAATTATTTATGATCAGAACATTTGTTCAGTCACTCTTCCATAGACCATTCTGAATCTAATAAAGGATATGAAAACACTAGAGATAATCTATAGCCTTCAATAAATCACTCCCAATTTGGAACTCCTTTGATGAATACTCCAGGCTACCACGAGGGAGAAGAAAAAAGTCAAAACCAATTTAAAAAAGCAACAACAATGAATTTGTAATAAACTTAGTTGATAGCTAACTAAAGTAAGCCTGTTTTTCTAACTTCATTAACATGAAAATAAATTTTATTAAGATTGATATCATGCTTTTTTGCACGATGAGTTACAGGAACATGAACTAAGAATAAAAATGATCCCTAAGATAAAGAATCCTCATAATCATGTACTTTAGTACAAAATATGATTTGACATCAAGAAGAGCTATGGCTTGAGATTGCTCTTGTTTTCCTTTACCCCCTGTGCCCAGGCTTAGTCACTGTTTCAGTGATAATGACCATCCACTGAGGCTCTGCAGCAATAGAATCTAAAGTAACGAAACAGAGCCCATATCTCTGCAACAAATGAAATCACAGACTTAAGAAAAATAAACAGAAAAACGAAAAGTTAAATTGTTTATGTTTCATAGCCATACTGCCTATAACAAATGCCAGAACATATTTATTTGGTCCAATGTGCAATGCATTAAATGTGCTCAAATACAGAAAACACCAAGAAATGCAACAGGGAGTTAAAAAAAAAAAAAAAAAAAGGCTGGGCGCGGTTACAGGCTCACGCCTATAATCCTATCACTTCAGGAGGCTGAGGTGGGTGGATCAGGAGGTGAGGAGATCCAGACCACCTTGGCTAACATGGTGAAACCCCGTCCCTGCTAAAAAAAAAAAAAAAAAAAAACAAAAAATTAGTCAGGCCTGGTGGCGGGTGCCTGTAGTCCTAGCCACTTGGGAGGCTGAGGCAGGAGAATGGTGTGAACCCAGGAGGCAGAGCTTGCAGTGAGCTGAGATTGCACCACCGCACTCCAGCCTGGGTGACAGAGCGAGACTCCGTCTCAAAAAAAAAAAAAAGAACAAGGGCAATAAGAAAATAGGAAAGCACAATTATATAAAATACAGTAGACACTTTTGAATCTTTTTAATATATGCCTACAAATACATTTTATTAATAGTGTAAATTTAATTTCCTCTGAGAATTTATTCAAAGAAGTTCTATCTGAGTTTGTGCTCAGAAAATGCCAGGATGATTCCTTGTCACAATGTATTTGGTGTTTAAAGTTCCCTCTAATTTACACAGCAAGACAACATTCAATTTTCTACACTTCTGCTTAAGCATATGTAAAAGAAACACACTCCTCATGAGATATGTTTACAAATATAAATGGAATAGTCACAGTGGAGCATGAATAAACCATTACATGGTTATTTCTCTACAGTGGATGCTAAAGAGAGAATCAAGTCCACCATAATAAGAAATAAACTAAGAGTTGTAGTTAAAACATAATAAAAATCTTCTTAAACGCTTCTTTACTTTGCCAATTTTCTCATCCAAATAGGGATAATTAAATAATCTGGGACAACAAAATGTATACTGTGGCAGAACAAAAGAATCCAAGGTAAAAAAAAAAGGACATGGCAGAATCTAAGGTCTTTGATAAATAATACTCAGATATTGCAAGGGGTATACAAAGAGTTCAAACACTGTCAAAGTCAGGTGTGACTTGTTCAAGGCACACAAAGATCATACCAAGGGAAACCCAGCAGGACAAGAAAGCCGAAGTGATCAACTTATTCCTGTCAAATACATTCTTGGAGTTTCAAATGTGAACAAATATGCTTATTCTGAATTTTACTTCCTTCTGCAAAGTATTAATCAATTATAATTATTTTGTTAAATGAAAATCCAATGAGAGTCACCAAGGAGCAATACAAGGAAAAAGGCAGACTCACCATCTCTTCGATTAAGCCTTGAAAACCCCGGGCCGTGGCTGCTGGACAGCTCTGAGGAGCTGCTGAAGGATGACCTAGGCAAGGCAGAGGCCAGTGGGGCATCACAGTCAGCTGCCAGGAAAAATACCGTGATATGGTTAACACTCAGATTGCAGCTTGGGAGAAATAATAGTCCAAAAATATATATGAATATATTCTAGGATGTATGGCAATCATCACTCCTTTTTTAATTCTTTACAATTTTTAAAATTTACATTGCAGCATAATTTACAGAGAGTAAAATTCCAGAGAATTTATTTGATGTTTTTAAAGTGTACAGCTCTATTCATTTTGACAAATGCATTCAGCCTTGTAACCTCCACCATAATGAAGACATAAAACAGGTCCATTAGCCCTCAAAGTTCCCTAATGTCCCACATTTTCTCAATTCTGCAAGATGTCTGGGTACATCACCCATCCAACACTACTTTAAACTCAATTTGATGCTTAGGTTCTTTAGGTACACACATACAGAGGTAGTGTGAATTCTGTGCCCAAACCTCAATAGCGGCTAGAAATTCTCACAGTGCCCCAGCACAGAACCTGTGGGGGATGGGAAAAGTGAAATGCACCAGGTGTTCAGGTCAGAGTTACCTGCGTGAAGCCAGGACCCATGAGAGGCAACACCTGTAGTGATGAACTGGAAAAAGCCCACTCTGTAGACCCCTCCAGAGGGAATTACTGCGGGCTACTTGCCTACAGGAGATGGAGGCTCCTCCTTTTTGCCTGATAACTTGAGCATTGCAGGAATTTGCTCTGCCTTTCCAACCCAAGGACCCCTGCATGTCACCATGTCACCCTCACCTCAGGGTGACTCTCTATTGCTTCAGCTCTGGTCTAAAAGAATTGCTGGGGGTTAAGTAGTGTTTGACCCAGATCATCTTATTTGTCCTAAGACCATAAGGACCCTCAGAGCCTTCTTGCCCCTGGTGTTCCCCACCGTCAAACTTGAGGAGCCCCTGGGACCATTCCCACCTTGGGTAGCTCTTTTCCTATGCGTAGCCATGGGTAACAGAAGCAACCCAGAGGTTACCTCTGAGTCCCGCAGTCCAATCCTGTAATCACTGTACTTTCAGGCATGTCATATTATTTTCTCATAAAAAGGGTACCTCTTCCAGCATGGTTATTGATCTAATAATGTTACACATAAGTTTTCTGTCACACATTAAGATATGTCTGTGAAAGAGGAATGTTATACCTTGAATATATCATTAGATGATTCTGAACTGCATATTTTGGATACACTTTTTTTCTTTGTGAGCAACTTGTTAAGTCACAGAAAGAAGGCAACCAGAATTAATTAGATTGCTACGACTTAGCAAAATGTCAACTATGTTCAGTGAGATAGATAAGAGGTAATTCAGGGTCTCTCCTGATTTGTTTGGTTGAGTACATGATACTGCAACAACAGAAAGAAAATTCAGTGCACATAATTTGCCTGAGTGAATATCATTTCATAAAGAAATACTGGAATTATATCTGCTTTTCTAAAAGCATGCATTGCCATTAAGACAGTGACATGTCTTTAAGACATGACAAAAGAAAAACTCAGTAACTCATTGTGAAGCATCTATTCTACAATAGGGAGAACAGTATCTCATTGCTTGGTAAAACATTCAGAGTATTTGATATAGGAACATTTTTCTATATATTCCCCATAAGTGACAATGTCACATTTATACAGGTGAGTCAGACACTGGAATTTGTGATTTTTTACATACAAAGAGCAGCATAATCTAGCTAAGAAATTGCATTTAACATCTTTAGCATGAAGAGCACCCAATATTTTTACACAGCAAGAAGCCATTGAAATGTGCAGAGCTGTTAAGAAAGGTTTGCTTTCTCTACGCTTTCCTTAAATGTCCCCCTCAATGTTTATGCCACAAGAGAGGCTTTCTTGATTTCCCCAGCACACATGCTCTCTGGATAACACTGTGCAGTCGGGATTCCCAGATGTCAGCAAATATGCTACAGAGTGGGCTAAGAAAAATAGATAAATACGAATCCAACTGGCTACGAACTTTACTTACATTTTCTAAAAAGGCATTTTAAAACTGTGAAGAAGCTAAAGTACAAGAAGGCAACTAAGGCTCTGCTCCATCTATAGACAAGTCCCACATGGCCCACGAGTGGTCACAGCAGGATCCAAGAAGGAAGGACATCATCCAGGGAATAGTGCCTCCTAAGCCTGTCTGCCTGATGTTATTTTCTCTCTATTTTCTGGGAAAGAATAAAACAAATCCAAGAACATCTAAAGTAGCATTGACATTTTTTGGATAAAATCTCTTCCTACATTAGAAAAGCATGATAGCTGTTCTCATGATGCCTCTGTCCTGCAGTATCATGCAATACATAAAACAGCACTGGGCGTTTCACGTGTCCCTGGATTCCTGCAGTATCATGCGATACATGAAACAGCACTGGGCATTTCACATGTCCCTGGGATTCCTGGCTGACATGTCTAACTCTCTCTGTGGAATCATGAGCTCTTGAAGGCACAATAAAAGTCTTTCCCAACTTCATGTGCTCTATACCTAGCGCAGAATCTGAAAGATAGCACATGCTCAATAAACTTCAACTGAATATTTACTAAATACGTAAAAGAGAATTATCATTAACCAATACACTTAATTAAACTTAGTCTTCCTAAGTTAGCAGAGTACAATTTATTAAAGTTCAAACACAAGAGGCCTAGAGGTATCAGATTCACATCTCTAATAAAAATAATAACCAGATCTCAAGAGAAGGTTCTAAATAGGTGTAATAGATAATAGTTATTCTTTCCCTTGGTTTCTCCCTAATTAACTTTCCAATTGTGTGTTTCATGAGTTTCAGATGATTTCCAATAGGATTAAGGTCCAAATATAAATCTGTAAAGACAGCTGGAAACAAAATTGCTGAAATTTTCCATTTCGCCTTTGGAAAATTCAAGAGTCAATAGCATCTGTCTGCCAAAGAGTCACCTTGTAATGAAGAAAATTTCTGGCACAGGCTTGAATAAATCTTGCCCTTCAGAAAGGCAATAAATTCGGGCGTGGTGGCTCACACCTGTAATCCCAACACTTTGGGAGACCAAGGTGGGTGGATCACAAGGTCAGGAGATCGAGACCATCCTGGCTAATACGGTGAAACCCCGTCTCTACTAAAAATACAAAAAATTAGCTGGGCATGGTGGCACGTGCCCATAGTCCCAGCTTCCCAGGAGGCTGAAGCAGGAGAATCGCTTGAACCTGGGAGGAGGAGGTTGCAGTGAGCCCAGATGGTGCCAGTACACTCCAGGCTGGGTGACAGAGAAAGACTCCGTCTTAAAAAAAAAAAAGAAAGAAAGAAAGGCACTAAATTTTATAAAATAAAAGAACATAAGAACATATCTGGTACCTAAGTTTATTGTTTTTTCCCTATCATTTTGAATTCTGTAAACACTTTCTTTCTAGAAAGAATTGTACACTACTGAGTCAGAGGGGAAAATACAGTGGGCACCCCACAAGTGTTACAGGGGCTGGATCTCCCTCTTCCTCAGCTTATTTGGAAATCTGGTTAAGATTCACTATATTTCCATGTGCTTGGCTCAATATAGAGGGTTCTAGGGTCTTAATGTTACAAGTATTGATTATTTCACATTTATTCTCACCATCTAAAGGCAGAGATTCATTGCTACATAGGTATATTTTATATTATTGTTCTCCTAGAAGATCATGGTTGAAAATGATATAAAATGTTTTATTCAGGGTTATTTTATATCTGTTCAAAAATGGTGGACTTCCTTAAAAATCACCTGTGCTGAACTGGGTAACAGCTGGATTCATATTAAAACTTGCAGGTTTGAAGAAGAGAAGCATTTGGAAAATGCAGAGAATAAACACAGTATGGGTTGGTGACTTAGCTGAAGGCTCAACAACGGTTGAGAGAGAAGTAGAGATAAACCCATAGAGGATCCCACCTGCCACCTTCCATGCAGCCACCTCAAGTGACAACTTTGAAGATGCACGCTAGACCAGAGGGTTTTTGGCTTGCTGCACTTCCCTAGGCTTGTTGATTTAGTCTCGGCGATTAGCTCTGCCTAGGTTCCTCTCTCCCCACTCTATGGTCTTGGTTTGTCCCCTGACCCCTGCCTGGCATCACTCTTAGCTTTCCACTTCTCCTTGACAAGTATTCCCAGCATGCTTTGTGATTCCCAGCATGGTGCCTATGAACGGTTTGGGACAGAAACCATTTCTTAGTATTATGTTCATGAAAGACAGCAGAAGATTAAAATTAGCCTAAGGGCTTCCTGTATACAAATCAACATTGCATTCACAGATGTGCTAGTTTATGACAATTTTTACCACATGAATATGAAATGATTAAAAAATCAATTTGAGGAATTGCCCTTACCTAAGACAGAGATGATATACTTTTCAAAACAGCGTTTCATTTATGTTAATTCTTGCACTTATTTAATAAAAGTGTATTGAGCACCTACCATGTGCAAAGCATTATGGGGCATAAAGAGAGACATAGTTCTAGGTTCAAGAAGTCCAGAATCTAACATGGGAGGGAGATGTGTAAATATCTGTTATAGGAAATAAACAGAAGAGCAAAATATTTAGATACTACTATTTATTCCAAAACACAGGGAAGCATCTTAATTGCTTAGGAACAAAACCAGCCTCTGAAAGAGCAAACAGTACTAGGGAGAGATGCGTATAAAAGTGCTTCTGGAAAAGATAAACATAAACCATGCATTTTCAAACAGCAATTCATTATTCTGGGATCTGATAATAAGAATGAAAAAAAAAAAAGAATGCATGGATAATACATGGACAGATTTTGTCCGTATCTGCAGAGGAGATGGGAAAAGCCAAAAGGAGGGGCGACAACTGATCCTATGGGGAGGAGCTTTACATTCAAATGAGGACACCTCCTGGCATCTCCAGATGGAGCTCCGAATTCATTACAGTATTACTTAAAGGATTTTATTAAAAGACCAAACCACACTGCACTTGTGGCTGAATGCCTTTATCAGAGATGAATCTTACATGTGTTAGGACAGGCTGACAGTGGCTCCCAAAGATATGTCTATGCCCCAATCCCGGGACCCTGTGAAGGTTACTTCAGAAGGTAAGGTTCTCCAGATGTGATCAAAGACCCTGAGACGAGGAAATTATCTTGAATTATCTGGCTGGGTCTTAAATACCATCAGAACTGCCCTTGTAAGAGAGATAAAGGTGATGATGAACAGAGCCCCACACAAAAGAGAAGAGGGTGTGAAAATGGAGTGAGGCACCCACAAGGTGAGGCACACGGGCAACCACAGGAAGCCGGAAGAAACGAAGAATGGATGTCCCCCTAGAGCCTTCATAGGGAGTGTGGCCCATCTTGATTTTGGACTAGGGATACTGATGCGGAACTTCTGGTCTCCAGACTATGACAGAATAAATTCTTTTGCTTTAAGTCAGCCAGTTTATGGTCATTTCTCACAAGGGCCATAGGAAATGAACACACTGTTTATATGGAATTACATATTGGATATTTTAGGGCAAATGCAGGAGAGTTCCACTGAAAATACGATTAACATCCTTTTGAATCGCACAGATACTCAATTCCTTCTGAGAAGGGCTTCATGATGCTAAGCCACTCTGCCAGGCTGTGGCTCTCCCCATGCTTGCGGCTGCACTTGCTCCTCACTGTGAAAGGAGCTAAGCACTGTGTCGGCGGAACCTAACGATGGAAGGAGAGGGGAAGGGGCCACCGAATTGCTAATATGAGGGGACGGCACCTTAACAAGCTTCGAATTATCAGAAAAACACAAAGCCTATTATTAAAGAGTTCAACAGATGGTTACTGTGTTATCACAGATGTACAGAAAACCTCTTTGTTCTAAAAAAAGAAAAAAGAAAAAAAAAAAGATTCCTGTCCTTTCTCAGACTGTCTCGATTAGGTCAAATTCACTAACTCCACAGCAGGCTTCTCTCTGGTTCCACATATTGAGTCAGCAGGGAGCACAGCCTCGGGAATCGAATCACAAACAGGGAAGGGGGTGCCCATACCTTCTTCAGGCCACGTCTGGATGTTCATCTGGATACGGCGCTATTCCATTCTTCCCATTTCATCACCTGTCTTTTCAGTTCTTAATGTACCTTAACATTATCTTAATGAGAGGTTAAATAATGCTTTTATTTAGAAGGTACCAAAAGTTCATCTTGTTATGAATCTGAATTGATCTGTGCATTGCTATCTAGAGGGAATGCTTTGGAAAAAGTACATTTTACTCACAGTGAACATAAGCAGTGATGGTCAATGTAAAAATCTACTTTTTTCCATATAAAAACTTCTGTTTTACATGGTCTTGATCTCCATTCGATTATCTTCAGTCACTGTCTTCCCTACATCTCACTCCATGGGGTCTGAAGGGGGCTCACCCTACCACCTGGGGCCAGCACAGGGACACGCCTCAGGCCTGGCAACTGAATGCCATGCCTGTCCTACTGGAAAGGACTGGTTCCAGGATGGTCAGGAAGCCCACGCTGAATGAATGGGAACAGAACCTGGGACTTTCGAATGAATAACAGCAGAACCTGGGACTTTCGGCTTGAACTCTTGGAAGAAATACCCATTCATTCATTCAACAAATATTTGTTGAAAATCTATACTGTGCCAGGTGTGCCCCTATGTTCTGGGGATATAACCATAAACAACAGAAAAAGTCTCTGCTCCTGTGAAGCTTATCCTACTGAGTAGAATAAACAAATAAAGGCATAATATCTGTAGAACTCAACATTGCTAAGAACAGAAATAAAGGAAAATAGTCACGCTCCTAAGCTGGTAAACGGTATGCCTGAAGCTAAGGCATAGACAGAGCTGCCCAAGAATGAGGCCAGTTGTAGATGAAAATAAAACTGCAAGAAGGAAAGAGGCAGACTGCTGATGAAAGAATCTGATTGCCTAAATTCAGCCTGGCTTCAATCAAGACACTTTGGTTCCCTTTATTATTCAAGCCTATTTGATCTTAGATTTTGGTCACCTGAAACTGAAAAATGCTCAATAAGTACACTGTCCTGAGCCCCCACCCTTATCTTCCCTTTACAGCCAATAAATTGACAAGGATTATGTACTTTTTGTGTGTATATGGCAGCTTTTCCATTATCATGATCATCATCTCACTGTAGGTCCTCATGTTAATGACCTAACTAATCCTTACAGCCAATGTTTCCTTATTGACTGTCCCCAGCCACACACACACCTTACATATCACCAGAGCAGAAACAGTTTTAAACTATTGCTGAGTGCAAGTCACACAAACAGCCATATCAACCAGCTCCAATGGATCCCCACTGCACCTGTCCTGAAATTCAAATTTCAGGTCCTGGCATTCAATTCCTTCCATCACCTGTTCCCTGTCACTCTCTGCACTACAGCCGAATCCCCTACACATTTCTCAGATGCGCTTCCTCCTTTAATTGGAGTGGTCTTCTCACTGTTTCCTGAATGTGGGATGCATGCACCAACGCTCCTTGACCGCTCACCCGATGACATTGCAGCCCCTCCTGTCTGCGAGTTCCCATCACTTATTATCTTCAGGGCTCAACTCAAGTTTTGTCTCTGCTCTGAAGTCTTCTCACATGTGTGAAGGCCCCAGTAAGGCTTACTCTTCTGAAATACTGAGGTCTGTCTCATGGAAAATGAATTACACCTCTGGAGAAGGAGCAGCACCTCACTCACAGGGAGCCACACAGCAGCCACGTGCGGCGGCAGATGGGGATGAGAGGGAACAGGAGAACCTCACTCCCAAGAAAGGAGCCTTGCCTGCTGACTGATGATTCTGGGGTGAGGAAGAGAGACTGGCATGACCAGCTGATGAGTGTCTGGTTCCCGGGACATGACAGACAATTCCTACAGTCTACCTGTGGGAACAGATGAGGCTTGGAAGAAGACACATAGAAACAGGTTTAAATTCTATAAATTAGAATTTACAGGGGGTAGGAGATAGGGGTTACACGTTGTCTCTCCTTCCAGATGACATTTTGACTTGTTAAAGAAAACCTAGCATAGGAACATTGAATACCTCCTGACATTGGTGTTTTCAAATGACTTACAGCACTACAAATATAAAGTTATAACAACAGCATACCAATTTTAACATACCAGGACCAAGGACTTTATTCTATGAGAACTACAAAAGACACAACACAAATGAAGACCTAGAGGAAAGTTTACAGAGTTTTTTTTTTTTTTTTTTTGAGACGGAGCCTCGCCCTGTCGCCCAGGCTAATTTTTTTTTTGTATTTTTAGTAGACACGGGGTTTCACCATGTTAGCCAGGATGGTATCGATCTCCTGATCTCATGATCCACCTGCCTCAACCTCCCAAAGTGCTGGGATTACAGGCGTGAGCCACCATGCCCGGTCAAGTTTACATAAATTTAAGCATCTTAATTTGACGATCTACTCTACAGTCATTACAACAATAAATATAAGAACTATTTAAACATGTGGAGAGATGAAGGAGATGGGATGGGAAAATCTGCATATGAGAAGATAATGGACAAAGAGATCTGCTGGATTGAGATGAGATAATGGGTGTTAAATCCAACAAACACAGCTCTAGAAACACAGAAGGGATTCAACATAGATCAGCTCCTTTTCCCTGAGGAAGCTGGATAGATGATCTTGTTCTCTTTCCTTTTATTTCTAAATTTCTTGCTATGTAGTTAAATTATACTTCTGTGATAAATTCAATACCAATTTTTAAACTATAGATTTTTGGCTAAAGTATATAATACGAGAATAAGACGAACCTATTTTTTTGAGACTTACTGCTAAGTAGAAAGAGAGGAAACCAAATAACAAAATTAAGTCCTGCAGAAAGACATCAGACACGACACAGAAAAAAATACAACAACACAGGTGCATATAATTTAAAAAGAAAATCATGTGGCGATGTCATCACTAATAATTGTTCTTACGAATGTATCCACAGCTGTGGGAATATAAGTGATAAAGATGAACTGTTAATAAAGGGCAATAAATGATCTTTCCACGGGTACAAAAAAATAGAAAAAATGAATAACACCTAGTATTTGATAACACAAGAGATGACTATAGTCAATAATTACTTAATTGTACATTTTTAAATAACTTAAAGAGTGTAATTGGATTGTTTGCAACGCGAAGGATAATTGCTTGAGGGGATGGATACTCCATTTTTCTTGATGCACTTATTTCACATTGCATGCCTGTATCAAAACATCTCATGTAGCCCATCAATATATACACCTACTATGCAACCACAAAATTAAAAACTAAAAAAATTAAAAATAATAATAATTCTTTCTATGCACCTCTGAGAGTTGACAGAATTAGGGTCTGAATGAGAATATAAGGTATGAGAAGGATATGGCTTCTTCCCAAGACATGTTACAGAGGGATGGAAAGAAGACTGTGTTCAACTTATAACATCTTAAAGGGACCTCATGACCTCACAGGCCAGAGCAGGCTATGGAGCATCTGGGAGCTGAAGAAAGAGAACTTCAGTGATACTTAAGTAAGGGTTAAGAGATGCACTCCAATTGCATTCTGAAGACAGATCCCAACAAGACCAATGACATCAGCTAGATTTTTTTCAGCCCAAAGTAATAAACCTGCAAATTATCAGAACTTGTTCACTACTCCGTACTTGGCTCTAATATGATTAGTAAGGTGGCAGTGTCAGAATCCTTGAGAAAATAATAACCAGAACATCTTAGAATTTATTGTGCCCAAGGAAGGAGCCCTGTCAATAGACAAATGTTTATTTGAGATGTCAAAAAGATAATTTTAAAACTTTAGGAAAACAACAGGCATTATCCCATGGCAATATGTTTTATGTCCAAATTTCAACTCTATTATTTCAAGCTATGTGTGTGACTTTAGAGGCAGCTTTGACTTCAATTTTTTAACTTAAAAAGATAAGAGTATTTAGAACACAATGGGAAATGTTACATAATACTACCTTGTAGACCTCCGAGCAACCACTATACAAAGAGACACTGTTGTTATGATTGAGGACAACATCGTTCATCAAATGTGAAAAGCTACCCAAATGAAACCCAGAAAAAACATGTTCCACTGAAGAAGAGAGAAATGGGCAAAGTAACCAAGGAAAGAATATTTACAGTGAGGCTGGGTGCAGTGGTCAAGATGGGTGGATCACAAGGTCAGGAGTTTGAGACGAGCCTGGCCAACATGGTGAAACTCCATCTCTAGTAAAAATACAAAAATTAGCTGGGCATGGTAGCGGGAACTTGCAATCCCAGCTACTCGGGAGGCTGAGGCAGGAGAATTACTGGAACCCGGGAGGCAGAGGTTGCAGTGAGCCAAGATTGTGCCACTGCTCTCCAGCCTAGGTGACAGAGCAAGACTCCATATCGGAAAAAAAAAAGAAATACTTACAATGAAAAGGAACATTAAAAGGAGGCAATATAAAGCAAAGTGAGTTAAAGCCCAGAACAAATTAAGACTTTCAAACATTGCTAAACGCAATCAAAGAGATTTTTTGTATACTCATAAGAAAAACCAGAAGAAGCTGCACTCTTTTGACAAAGCTCATAAGGCTAAGAAAATAGACAGGTCCGGATCCAAGATGGTCGAATAGGAACAGCTCCAGTCTACAGCTCCCAGCATGAACGACGCAGAAGACAGGTGATTTCTGAATTTCCGACTGAGCTTTGGTGACAGTAGTGGTTCTCCCAGCATGGAGTTTGAGATCTGAGAATGGAAAGACTGCCTCCTTAAGTGGGTCCCTGACCCCTGCGTAGCCTAACTGGGAGACACCTCCCAGTAGGGGCTGACTGACACCGCGTACAGCCAGGTGCCCCTCTGAGACGAAGCTTCCAGAGAAAGGATCAGACAGCAACATTTGCCATTCTGCAATATTTGCTGTTCTGCAGCCTCTGCTGGTGATACCCAGGCAAACAGGGTCTGGACTGGACCTCCAGCAAACTCCAACAGACCTGCAGCTGAGGGTCCTGACTCTTAGAAGGAAAACTAACAAACAGAAAGGACAACCACACAAAACCCCATCTGTACGTCACCACCATCAAAGACCAAAGGTACATAAAACCACAAAGATGGGGAGAAACCAGAGCAGAAAAGCTGAAAATTCTAAAACTCAGAGCGCCTCTTCTCCTCCAAAGGAACACAACGCCTCGCCAGCAACGGAACAAAGCTGGATGGAGAATGACTTTGACGAGTTGAGAGAAGAAGGTTTCAGATGATCGGTAATAACAAACTTCTCCGAGCTAAAGGAGGATGTTCGAACCCGTCGCAAAGAAGCTAAAAACCTTGAAAAAGGATTAGACGAATAGCTAACTAGAATAAACAGCGTAGAGAAGACCTTAAATGACCAGATGGAGCTGAAAACCATGGCACGAGAACTACATGACGCATGCACAAGCTTCAGTAGCCAATCCGATCAACTGGAAGAAAGGGTATCAGTGATTGAAGATCAAATGAATGAAATGAAGCGAGAAAAGAAGTTTAGAGAAAAAAGAGTAAAAAGAAACGAACAAAGCCTCCAAGAAATATGTGACTGTGAAAAGATTCACCAAACTTGAAATGAAGGAAAAAATATTAAGGGCAGCCAGAGAGAAAGGTCGGGTTACTCACAAAGGGAAGCCCATCAGACTAACAGCGGATCTCTCGGCAGAAACTCTACAAGCCAGAAGAGAGTGGGGGCCAATATTCAACATTCTTAAAGAAAAGAATTTTCAACCCAGAATTTCATATCCAGCCAAACTAAGCTTCATAACTGAAGGAGAAATAAAATCCTTTACAGACAAGCAAATGCTGAGAGATTCTGTCACCACCAGGCCTGCCTTACAAGAGCTCCTGAAGGAAGCACTAAACATGGAAAGGAACAACCAGTACCAGCCACTGCAAAAACATGCCAAATTGTAAAGACCATCAAGGCCAGGAAGAAACTGCATCAACTAATGAGCAAAATAACCAGTTAACATCATAATGACAGGATCAAATTCACACATAGCAATATTAACCTTAAATGTAAATAGGCTAAATCCTCCAATTAAAAGACACAGAGTGGCAAATTGGATAAAGAGTCAAGACCAATCAGTGTGCTGTATTCAGCAGACCCTGCTCACGTGCAGAGACACACATAGGCTCAAAATAAAGGTATGGAGGAAGGTCTGCCAAGCAAAGGGAAAACAAAAAAAAAGCAGGGGTTGGAATCCTAGTCTCTGATAAAACAGACTTTAAACCAACAAAGATCAAAAGAGACAAAGAAGGCCATTACATAATGGTAAAGGGATCAATTCAACAAGAAGGGTTAAATATCCTAAATATATATGCACCCAGTACAGGAGCACCCAGATTCATAAAGCAAGTCCTTAGAGGCGTACAAACAGACTTAGACTTCCACACAATAACAATGGGAGACTTTAACACACCACTGTCAACATTAGACAGATCAACGAGACAGAAAGTTAAAAAGGATATCCAGGAATTGAACTCAGCTCTGCACCAAGCAGACCTAATAGACATCTACAGAACTCTCCACCCCAAATCAATAGAATATATATTCTTCTCAGCACCACATCACACTTACTCCAAAATTGACCACATAGTTGGAAGTAAAGCACTCCTCGGCAAACGTAAAAGAACAGAAATTATAACAAACTGTCTCTCAGACCACAGTGCAATCAAACTAGAACTCAGGATTAAGAAACTCACTCAAAACTGCTCGACTACATGGAAACTGAACAACCTGCTCCTGAATGACTACTGGGTACATAACAAAATGAAGGCAGAAATAAAGATGTTCTTTGAAACCAATGAGAACAAACACACAACATACCAGAATCTCTGGGACACATTTAAAGCAGCGTGGAGAGGGAAATTTATAGCACTAAATGCCCGAAAAAGAAAGCAGGAAAGATCTAAAATTGACACCCTAACATCACAATTAAAAGAACCAGAGAAGCAAGAGCAAACACATTCAAAAGCTAGCAGAAGGCAAGAAATAACTAAGATCAGAGCAGAACTGAAGGAAATAGAGACACAAAAAAACCCTTCAAAAAATCAATGAATCCAAGAGCTGGTTTTTTGGAAAGATCAACAAAATTGATAGACCACTAGGAAGACTAATAAAGAAGAAAAGAGAGAAGAATCAAATAGAAACAATAAAAAATGACAAAGGGGATATCACCACCGATCCCACAGAAATACAAACTACCATCAGAGAATACTATAAACACCTCTACGCAAAGAAACTAGAAAATCTAGAAGAAATGGATAAATTCCTCAACACATACATCCTCCCAAGACTAAACCAGGAAGAAGTTGAATCTCTGAATAGACCAATAACAGGCTCTGAAATTGAGGCAATAAGTAATAGCTTACCAACCAAAAAAAGTCCAGGACCAGATGGATTCACAGCCCAATTCTACCAGAGGTACAAGGAGGAACTGGTACCATTCCTTCTGAAACTATTCCAATCAACAGAAAAAGAGGGAATCCTCCCTAACTCATTTTATGAGGCCAGCATCATCCTGATACCAAAGCCGGGCAGAGACACAACCAAAAAAGAGAATTTTAGACCAATATCCTTGATGAACATTGATGCAAAAATCCTCAATAAAATACTGGCAAACTGAATACAGCAACACATCAAAAAGCTTATCCACCATGATCAAGTGGGCTTCAGCCCTGGGACGCAAGGCTGGTTCAACATACGAAAATCAATAAACGTAATCCAGCATATAAACAGAACCAATGACAAAAACCTCATGATTATCTCAATAGATGCAGAAAAGGCCTTTGACAAAATTCAAAGACACTTCATGCTAAAAACTCTCAACAAATTAGGTATTGATGGCACCTATCTCAAAATAATAAGAGCTATCTATGACAAACCCACAGCCAATATCATACTGAATGGACAAAAACTGGAAGCATTCCCTTTGAAAACTGGCACAAGACAGGATGCCCTCTCTCACCACTCCTATTCAACATAGTGTTGGAAGTTCTGGCCAGGGCAATCAGGCAGGAGAAGGAAATAAAGGGCATTCAATTAGGAAAAGAGGAAGTCAAATTGTCCCTGTTTGCAGATGACATGATTGTGTATCTAGAAAACCCCATCGTCTCAGCCCAAAATCTCCTTAAGCTGATAAGCAACTTCAGCAAAGTCTCAAAATCAAGATTTTGTATCTTGATTTGATACAAAATCAAGATTTTGTATCTTGATTTGATACAAAATCAAGATTTTGTATCTTGATTTGATACAAAATCAAGATTTTGTATCTTGATTTGATACAAAATCAAGATTTTGTATCTTGATTTGATACAAAATCAAGATTTTGTATCTTGATTTGATACAAAATCAATGTGCAAAAATCACAAGCATTCTTATACACCAATAACAGACAAACAGAGCTCCAAATCATGAGTGAACTCCCATTCACAATTGCTTCAAAGAGGATAAAATACCTAGGAATCCAACTTACAAGGGATGTGAAGGACCTCTTCAAGGAGAACTACAAACCACTGCTCAAGGAAATAAAAGAGGATACAAACAAACGAAAGAACATTCCATGCTCATGGGTAGGAAGAATCAGTATCATGAAAATGGCCATACTTCCCAAGGTAATTTATAGATTCAATGCCATCCCCATCAAGCTACCAATGACTTTCTTCACAGAATTGGAAAAAACTACTTTAAAGTTCATATGGAACCAAAAAAGAGCCCGCATTGCCAAGTCAATCCTAAGCCAAAAGAACAAAGCTGGAGGCATCACACTACCTGACTTCAAACTATACTACAAGGCTACAGTAACCAAAACAGCATGGTACTGGTACCAAAACAGAGATATAGAACAACAGAACGGAGCCCTCAGAAATAATGCCACATATCTACAACTATCTGATCTTTGAGAAACCTGACAAAAATAAGCAATGGGGAAAGGATTCCCTATTTAATAAATGGTGCTGGGAAAACTGGCTAGCCATAAGTAGAAAGCTGAAACTGGATCCCTTCCTTACACCTTATACAAAAATTAATTCAAGATGGATTAAAGACTTAAATGTTAGACCTAAAACCATAAAAACCCTAGAAGAAAACCTAGGCAATACCATTCAGGACACAGTCATGGGCAAGGACTTCATGTCTAAAACACCAAAAACAATGACAACAAAAGCCAAAATTGACAAATGGGATCTAATTAAACTAAAGAGCTTCTACAGAGCAAAAGAAACTACCATCAGAGTGAACAGGCAACCTACAGAATGGAAGGAAATTTTTGCAACCTACTCATCTGACAAAGGGCTAACATCCAGAATCTACAATGAACTCAAACAAATTTACAAGAGAAAAAACAACAATCCCATCAAAAAGTGAGCAAAGGATATGAACAGACACTTCTCTAAAGAAGACATTTATGCAGCCAAAAAACACACGAAAAAATGCTCATCACCACTGGCAATCAAATGCAAATCAAAAACCACAATGAGATACCATCTCACCCCAGTTAGAATGACGATCATTAAAAAGTCAGGAAACAACAGGTGCTGGAGAGGATGTGGAGAAATAGGAACACTTTTACACTGTTGGTGGGACTGTAAACTAGTTCAACCATTGTGGAAGTCAGTGTGGCCATTCCTCAGGGATCTAGAACTAGAAATACCATTTGACCCAGCCATCCCATTACTGGGTATATACCCAAAGGATTATAAATCATGCTGCTATAAAGACACATGCACACGTATGTTTATTGCAGCACTATTCACAATAGCAAGACTTGGAACCAACCCAAATGTCAATCAATGATAGACTGGATTAAGAAAATGTGGCACATATACACCATGGAATACAATGCAGCCATAAAAAATGATGAGTTCATGTCCTTTGTAGGGACATGGATGAAGCTGGAAACCATCATTCTCAGCAAACTATCGCAAGGACAAAAAACCAAACACCGCATGTTCTCACTCATAGGTGGGAACTGAACAATGAGAACACATGGACACAGGAAGGGGAACACTACACAACGGGGACTGTCACGGGGTGGGGGGAGGGGGGAGGGATAGCATTAGGAGATATACCTAATGCTAAATGATGAGTTAATGGGTGCAGCACACCAACATGGCACATGTATACATATGCAACAAACCTGCACGTTGTGCACATGTACCCTGTAACTTAAAGTATAATAATAATAAAATAATAAAAAATTGAAAAGTTCAGTGTTCGAGTTCTCTCTTTGTCTCTTGGCCTCTGCGATGCCTGCAGAAACCCAGTCACAACCCATTCATTCATATTCCTCTCCTTAGAGCCAGGAGTTAGCACCCCAAGGGCAGTGCTGAATCCCTGGACAGGACTCGGGATAAATGCATTCCCCCTGCTGTCTCTCAGAGGCACAGCTGTGAAACACATTCTACCGGCTTCCTGAGAGCTTCCCAGGGAGTTCGTGCCCCAGTTGCTCACAGAAGTGACCAGCTCAATGACACCCCCTTTTGGTGGATTTTTCTTCTCTATTCCATTCTTCCCTCTTTTATGTGCTCACTTTCTAAAAGAGGCTACCTGCACAAACGCCCATCACAGGCTCAGCTTTCTAAGAAAACTCTGGCTGGGACAGTGGACTTTCCAGAATGGAATGTGGGCAGTATTCTAAAATACTAAATAAAATGCAATAGGAAAATCAAAGGGATGAATGTCACATGGCATAAAGAAGGAGGTAGAGGACATCTGCCTAGCCTGCCAAAACAAAACAAATTGACAATCAACCCCGGCCACCCAGGAGATGAGCTTTGTCACAGCAATTCTTCCTCATATCCCAGAAAAGAGAAGAAGAAATGAGGACAGTAGAATCAACTGTGACATCCAAAAAAGGAAGGCTGCCCAATCTCTTCTCTAGAATGTGTCAACTGTGATTTATGAAATGACATATGCTATTTTTATATTGCAATGTTTGCTTATCTATAGGTAAGAGCTCACTATTTCTTATATCATGTTATAATTATATTCATGAAGAAGATGACCACTGCACAGACAAGTACACTGTGAAGAACCGTGAGGAGAGATTTTACCCTACTTGCAAGCTAACAAATGAGTCTGCCAGTTTGTTTCATGGTTGCGGCAGAAGACTTCTGGGTCAAAGCAAAGGACTGTATTACTTACAGCATAGCAAACAATATGAGCATCAGCATATTTGCATCAATTTCCTTGCCTCCAAGTCCTCTGGGGGAATATGGATGGGCACAGATGGATGTGTGCACACGCAGTGGGTTACATGACAAGTGAGGAGCCCCGAGCTTAGGGAATTCAAAGTTTTCTATGGGCAGCAGGCATTGCTTGCCCTTTGGCAACACTGCTGAAATAAATCTCTTATAGTTCAAGATGTATTGATAAGCGTGTTAAGCTTATTTTTATACATGAAGAATAACAAATTGTTATTTTCTATGGTTATTCACAGTATCTCAAAATCTATGTGATATTTTACTAGCTTAGTTTTATTATAATTTTAAAAGACCATTTGGGTTCCTTTGTTAGTGGACAAGAATAAAAAGAGATAAATTAGTTACTTTCTTAAAGCTAAGCAACATCATTTTCTATTGAGGAACCCAAAACTTTCCTAACTTTTACAAATGTTTGTAAATTGTAGGTTCTGTGACAGCCTGTGCTATAAAATTTCATAAGCTTATAAGAGCTTTCTTAACACAGCTGTGGACTTTTCTCCTGGTGTTGTACAGCAGTTCAAATTAGCACAAGAATCATAAACCCTATATTTGAACAGCTATATAATATTATATATTTATTTTCCCATTTGATGTTGCATTACTTTTTCTACCAATCTTCTTACAATAAATTCATAAATATCTTAATTATAGCAAATGTGCAGTTCTTAAAGATGAGAATCATCAAACATGTTTCTATTACAGAGATATATTCTTCAAAAAGTCATCTAAAATAGAAACCCAACTGGGAGACACCTTAAAAGGTTATCTGCCACAACAGAAGCTTTGCTTAAAATACTGTTCTCTTTGTATTTGTGTTAATAATTGATTTGTCTTTGAAATTAAATTAGGAATCTACTATATCTAGTGGTCTTGAAATCAAAGCCCCCTCCCCATTCCTTATCTTCACTGCTGTGTTCAAAAAGACTAGACTCCAGGGACCTGTCCAAAGCTGGGTTAAATATAGGATGTCTGAGAGACACCCTTCTTTCATAGTTCGAGGGTAAGCATGTAGCTGTATGTGTGTGGAGGGGCGGGTGGAGGAGGTTAGCTGTATCAGGGTAGGCATAATACTATATTTTAAATCCCTCCTTCTGTTATAAATGTAAGCTGAAAATAGTCTCTGCTCCCAGCGGCAGCAATCGTAAACTCGCTTAGTTCTGCCTGTAATTTAATTTAATTTAACATGTGACATTGAGACAATGTTTCTTTTAATTCACATATAACTTCTTCCTCACCCACATTCCAGCCAAATAAACACATACTTATAGAAAAATGTGACTGTTTTCCTGGGCACCCCAACAATTCAACTGTCCCTAAAACACCAGGTTCAATTTAAACTCTATTAGCTTGTCTGAGGGCTAAGATATCTAAAAATCCAAGACAAATTATCATTTGCATATATGGAGGCAGCTCTGATTGAACAGATATCTAAAACTGATAGGTAATATTTTAGATCAAATCACCCCATCAAGTCAAAGACTAATTCAACTGTTTGTTCAGTTTCCAAAGGAATCCTTCCATTTTGGTCTAGTGTTCCATAAACATTGACTTTACATGAAAAGGACAGTGAAGAGATCTCTTGAACCGGCCAGAAAGTTGAAGCTCAAGGTTGCAGAAGATTTGAGCTACCAAGTCCAAGCCTTCTAAAAGATTCCCAATATGTATATATATCATTTTCCTAACTCCACATTTGCCTGAGAAACAATGACATTCAATAAACTTTTTTCCACGGGATTTAGTTACAAAATAAGTCAAGGAACTACAAGTTATATATTTCCTGGAAAAATATACTATTATACATATATATTATATATTCAAAACTCCGTAAAGCATATAAAGTATAAGCATATACTGAGTTATAAGGCATAACTCAACATGTTATTTTAACCTAAAATTTTCTTAGGGCCTCAATTGCAAATGCTTTAATTGCCAATGGTTCATAAACACATCTGTGAATTAGAAGCAAGTAATATCCTCTGTTTTTATACTCTCAAAAAATGTGATTATACTTAATCAAAAGTAATTCAAACCACAGCCCAGGCAATACATACTAGACCACGTCTTCTTGGTAATTTAATTCTTAGCAATAATTTTAATTGCTGCCTTATTAAGTAGGTATGCTACTTAAATTACAATCCTGTAGTTATAAGGTTAAAACTATTTTAAAATCTCGAATGTTTTTAGATTTCAATCACTCTTCGTATTATTACAACAAAAATGTTCATTAACTGGAACACATGCAGTATCATTTTTTAGCCCCCACTTTATGATATTTTTTAATTTTTATTACCAGAGTAGTCATTTCATTATAAAATTTTAACCAAGCTAAGCATATACTCCGTTTTTTAGAAAACTAGATTTACTGTAGTCCTGTTAAGGCTATCATAGTAAGCAATGAATTTCACACTTGTCTTTTATACAGTACCACAACACATCAAGCAGATATATGAATTCCTTGACAAAATACATTTAAAACAAACAATTCCATGCTTTATATGTCAAGTGGAAAAGGAATATTTTTTCTACAGTGACAGAGCAGACTTGACATGTGCACAATCATGTACAACCAAGCGTTTGCAAATGCTCTTACAACGTGCAGCAACCGGGCCTAGGGACAAGCAACCTTTCAGCTAAGAGTCTCGTCAAAGGTGCGGAAGCCCATTACAGAAGACCAGATAACAGTCAGTCTGACGGGTTCATTCAGATATTCAAGCTTTAAAAAGTACTTCGAAGACTGATACAGATGTCCTAGGCAATAAACTTCCCAAAAAGAATGGAGAACAATCCCAGTGCCAATTACATCTTTGTCATTCAGAAATCCAGGCTAATTTGATTTAGAGACATATATAAATGAACTGTTATTTCTCATAATTGTTTTTTTTCAGCCTCTTTATTTTTAGTCTACATCTCTTAGGTAAAATACATCAATTTAACTACATTTACTTATTCTGAGTTTTTCTATTGGTCCATGTTTCCTTTAAACACAATTTTGAATGGTTTTTTAAAGTAACCATTTGATTTTGAAACCAATTTACAGAAAACATGGAAGAACTATGCTAATATGCTGTATCACCCCTGAATACTTCAATGTACATTTCCTACAACAAAGATGTTCTCCTATATAACCATAATATGATCATCACAGTCATCATGGATAAAGTTCCAATATTTAATCCCCAATCTTGTTCAAGTTTCACCAATTCCCAATCATGTCCTTTATAACATAAGCATTTAATGCAGAATAGTATTTAGTTGCCTTGTTTTCTTAGCCTCTGTCAATCTGGAATGCCTCCTTCCTCACTCCACTCAACTTCTGACAACTTGCTATAGGTCACCACCAGTGCTGTCTCCTGTCTCTCCAGGTCCCCACCCTTGCTATACTGTGGATGCTTTCCTTACCCTGCTGGTTTCTGAATGCTCTGCCATGGTCCTGGGCCTCCCCACTACCCAGCATGGATGCCTAAGCCGAACTGAATGACCTTGGACTGAATTGTTCAAAAAGAGAAGGGGAGAGGAAGAGGAAGAAGAATGCCAAGTAATTTGATTTTTCTTTTTTCATGATCAAACCAATGTCTTGGAATTAATTATCATTTCCATGGGCTACTTCTGCTCCATACTGTTTGTATAGAGTTTGGTGAAAATGAATAAAGGCATGTGAACTACATTTTTTGGGGTTTTTTTTGTTTTTTTTTTTGAGACAGAGTCTCACTCCGTCACCCAGGCTGGAGTGCAGTGGCACGATCTCAGCTCACTGCCTCCTCACAGGCACCTGCCACCATGCCCTGAAATTTTTTCATATTTTTAGTAGAGGCGGGGTTTCACCGTGTTGTCCAGGCTGGTTTCGAACTCCCGACCTCAAGTGATCCACCCGCCTCAGCCTCCCAAAGTGCTGAGATTACAGGTGTGAGCCACCGTGCCCAGCCTGAACTCCATTTTTTATAGAGTACCATTTGACACTAAAATTAAGAGTCTGTTATTCATCTGCAGAATCTCTCTTAAAATGGTATTACTAAAAGGTCCAAAATGAAACATCTGTAAAAATAATTATTCCTACACTCTGTGAGATCTCTTTCCTGACACATTTCACATCTAAGTGAGTTTCCTAACTAACCCACACACACTCTATAGTAGGCTTACCCTTCTTTCCCCAGGCTGGCTAGCGAACTTGCAAAACATAACCATTTAGGGGAAAAAATTGAGGCAATTAAAATTAAAAGTGTTTTAGGCTAAGTAATGAATAAATTAACCCACTGAAAAGTTACATCAAAGGCTATTACTCAGCATTTTACCAATTACAGGAATTTCTGCAAAATCTGCCCAGCCATTTGTTTGTGTATCCCTGGGATCAGTGCCCAGAGTTCAATCTTTCTCTTGATGCTTCCTGTTGTTTTCAGGGACTCAATGAGAGCAGTAAGTGACCTTTCACTCAGTGCAAGTCTATGGGCACTGAAGTTACGAAAATATTTCCCTTCATGCAGAATCTTCCTAACAAAGCTTTCCCATGTATTTGTCGGGTCAAATAACATTCAGATAAACTGCACATAATCCCCAAAATGCCAAATGTTTAGAGAGCTTTTTTTTTTTTGAGACGGAGTTTTGCGTTTTGCTCTTGTTGCCCAGGCTGGAGTGCTATGGTGGGATCTCAGCTCACTGCAACCTCCACCTCCCAGGTTCAAGCGATTCTCCTGCCTCAGCCTCCCGAGTAGCTGGAATTACAGATGCCTGCCACCACGCCCGGCTAATTTTTGTATTTTTAGTAGAGACAGGGTTTCACCATGGTGGCCAAGCTGGTCTCGAACTCCTGACCTCAGGTGATCCACCCACCTCGGCCTCCCAAAGTGCTGGGATTACAGACATGAGCCACTGTGCCCGGCCTAGAGAGCTCTTCCCATGAAGAGCCATTTCATGCCATCATCAACAGGCTGCCTTCGTGGGTGGCCAATGTGCTTCTGGAAAACCAGCTGTGAATAACGTGAGCAACTCATGGTGTCTACATGAGAAGGAAACTTTTAGATGTCCTTATTGACTTTCTTCTTGGTATTGAAGGTGGTATAATTATTATAGTTACATAGTTTTATCTGGAAGAATTACTTGATCTAAAAGGTAATTTAAAATTAGTAAAATTTATTAGATATGAGGATACTACATATGATGTAGAATCATAGCCCATTCTAGAAATAAAAGCTTCCTAGGTGTTTACCAAATTAAGGAAAATAAAAAACAGGGAACCCGATGGCAAATTAAATAATGTAAAATATTAGCATCCAGAGAGGAATCATTTTCAAGATCACCTAAATGACTGGCTGAGTTTTGTCTTTAACCAAGAACTTTCTACTGAGAAACGAAGCCCCTGACAGGGGTGTTCAAGTGTTATTCCCTTAGTAGTTAGGGCAGGTTATTAATTTAGTTTCGCCTACAGGCGCTCTGTCCCTATACTGCGTGGAAGTTAATTAGCATTTTAACTCTGAAGCTGCCAAGGTCGGCAAAACTGTAAGCTGCTAACATCTAAGTTGATGCAGTATGATGTAATGTCTGCCAGTTTTTTCCCTGTTAGACTTAATTCCTACAAAATATTACAATCCTAAAAAGGAATAAATGACAGCATTTGCAGGCTAATCTCTTATTAAGATGCTCTTTTCAGGTTTTACAGAAACGGCCACTTTCTCAATGAATATTCAAGAACATCGATTAAAAAGTCAAAACATGCATGGTATATCTTAGACTCCCCCACAAGAGGAAAGTCTATTGTAAACAAAATCGTCTTTTTCGGGTTGCAATTCCAAATATTTTTTTAAGGTTCTTCATGTTCAGGAGCATGTTCTGCAATTCCACTTCCAAATATTACCGATAATAAAAAAATACAAAGTTTTCCAGACAGCCTAGCGCAAGTTTTAAACCATTTGCTGTACTTACGTGGATTTCCTGCTCCTACGGGGCTCCAAGTCTGAGTGGGGAGAAGCAGCAGCACCTTGAGGACGGCCCAGGCCACTGAAGCCATGCTCTCTTCAGCCAGGCGCCCTGAGACCCGGGCAAGGCGACGGCCGCTCTGCGTCGTTCCTGCTCTCACTCCCGCTCTCACTCCCGTCCCCTGCGCGGCTCCGACGCTGCTCTGTCTCCCCTGTCCAGTCTCTAGCTCTCTTCCTCACGCACTGGCAGCCTCCCTCGGCGCTGCAGACCCTCCCGCCAAGCCGCGCCCGGCCCCAGCTGCGTCTCCGAGGTCGGCCCCGCGGACTCGCGCCGCAGCTTTCTGGAGCGCTCGGGGCCGCGCGGCGCCGCCCCAGGCACGGAGGCGGCAGGTTCAGGCGCGTCCCGGACACTAGGCGCGGGAGGCGGCCGGCAGCAACGCGAGTCAAGAAGCGAGCGGGAGGGACGCCCCAGCTCCGCCTGGCGCTCTCCTCCCGTTATACCGGCAGCTTCCTCCGTCCCTCTCTCCCACCGGGGCGGGGCGGCCGCGGTGCACGGACTCGTGCCAAAGACCGCGCCGTCAGCCTCCGCCTGCAGGTGGAGAACGCCAGGCTTTATCACTCTGCTGTTCACCCAACGCAGGGGCTGCACCCAGGAAAATCCTGTCCTGTTTGAGTTCAAATAGGGAAGATGGGGCAGAAATAACTCTGCGGCGTGTACTCGGGCAGACGCGCGCACACTTTGATTTTGCTAGGAATTCTGACTTGTAGAGAACCAAGCTGGGAAACCGGGCCAGGAGCAGGGAGAGGCCGGTGAGCCTGGGTTGTGCGAGTGCAAGCCTTTATTTAAAGTTTTAATATTTTGTCTATCATGGGTTTTTTTTCTTTGCGATTACATTCAATTTTAAAACTATTTCATTCATTCAGGATTAGCGTTACTTAACAGTTGCTCCTGAGACTAGTGCGTTAGTCCCTTCACCCTAGTCCTGGCCTTGGTGGAAGTCTAAAATTTATGTTTTATTCCAGCTTTCTGTCCAAAAGAGCAACCCCTGCAAGTGTAGGATGAGGAGCTCAGTCCAGCAGCAGCTAACACTGCACTCCTTGCGCGCCTGCTGTGTGCTAGAGAGAGGGGCAGAGGCGGGAGGCGGGAGGCAGGGGGCGGGGGGGTCTTTCTCTTTTTCTCTTCCTCTGCTTCTCAAATTCACAGTAGGGGCAAAGATTGACAAACTCACTCACATTACCACCACCGCGAGTTTCCAAAAAAGAAAAAAGAAAGAAAGATACTAACTTTTTTAGATGGTATCTCTAAGAAATAGTGTATTAATCTTCCCTTTGGAAAGACAACTTTGAAAGGCTTTTTCATTAAAATGAATTCAAATGTAATAGATGTAAAATGTAAAATGAATTCAAGTGTAATAGATGAAGAAACTTACAAAGTCATTCTTGAATTATAAATTGGGTTCACTTAAACTACTTTTGCACAAGAACTCTGTAAATAGCACGTCTTTTATTACAGAAAAAATTATAAATCTAAAGTTTTGATTGACAGATCAGTTGCCTTCAGTGAGACAGAGAGAAAATGGAAATCATTTTCTAAATTGGACCTAGAGTAAAACAACAAATGTCAATCTATTATTATACCAATTTGTCAGGCATCAGATGGAGTCTTTAAAAATGTGAACTTGGCCGGGTGCAGCGGCTCATGCCTGTAATCTCAGCACTTTGGGAGGCCGAGGAGGCCAAGAGGTCAGGAGATGGAGCCCATCCTGGCCAACATGGTGAAACCCCGTCTCTATTAAAATACAAAAAATTAGCCGGGCGTGGTGGTGCCTGCCTGTAGTCCCAGCTACTCGGGAGGCTGAGGCAGGAGAATCGCTTGAACCCGGGAGGCAGAGGTTGCAGCAAGCCAACATTGCGCCCTGCACTCTAGCTTGGCGACAGAGCCAGACTCCGTCTCAAGACAAAAAAAAAAAAAAAGTGAACTTGGGTGTTCAAAGTGTTAGGCTTAATGGAGAAAGGACAAGAAACTTCTACGGTGGTAGACATTTGCAATTAAAAAAATGGCTTCATTAAACTGTAAAATCACTAGCGTAGTGAGGGTGAATGCATTTTTTACAACATTGGAGGAATATGTTTATGAATATTATTCCCAATACATAAAATATACATTTTACACACTTATAGGTACACTCAAAATTTGTTCCAAGTTGTTCATGTCTAGTAAACGTATATACACTATTTTATATGGTTAAGCCAATAAGCATCAGCATTTTCTTCTAAGACAGGAGGCTTGTAATTGTTTTGATTCCCCTGCTTTTGACTTAAAACTTATTTAGGTTTATTCTACTTAAGTTGTTTGGTTAGGGGACTTGAAGTCCTTAGACATAAATGTGTGTCTTGAAATGCATTTTATGTGGCTATAATTGCTGCTATATGGTTATTATTTAAATCAGCATAGACACTTGCTGTGGTGATAATGCTGTCAATGAACTTTGCAGACTAAGAGTAGTGAGGCTCTAAAAATTACTTTGCCTAATAGAGAAGCATCCGTCACAATCATCACACACTACACACTTACTGAACAAATGAAGGCATGAATTCGAGATGGCCGATGTAACTAGAACACTGGATGTCCTAGAAAAAATGTCGAATATCACAAATATAAATGTTTTATGTGTTGCTGCTTTATTTCCTTTCTTCCCTACTTTCCATGATAATGCAATTTAAACTTTGAAACTTCTTACTTACCTTCTATTTAACCTTAACATGGATAATAAATACAATTATATTTTTTATTTCAATCTGGATAATGGTTGCATGATTCAACCAGAATAAAAAAGGAATAAGATCTACTTTGTAATAGCACATATTTAGGAAGTGAGTATATTTATATTGGAACAAATGATGATACTGAGGTGTGTTTGATGACTAGCTTCTGGATTATAAGAATGTAAATGTTTGTTAAGATAGACTCTTTTGAAATTTGTTCTTGAATATTTTGAATTACAAAAGGAACATTTTTAAAAGAATTGTATAAAGAAAATGTTAATAATTGCCACTACCATCACCCCAACCCCACTGAGGTAACCAATGATACATAACAGGCTGACAGGCTAGTATGTATCCTTATGTATCCTTGTTTTGGCTCTTCTTCTGCTTCTTTTTTTTTTTTTTTGAGACAGAGTCTCGCTCTGTCGCCTAGACTGGAGTGCAGTAGTGGTGTGATCTTTGCTCACTGCAACCTCTGCCTCCCAGGTTCAAGCAATTCGTGTGCCTCAGCCTTCTGAGAAGCTGGGACAACAAGTGAGTGCCACCAGACCCGGCTAAGTTTTTGTATTTTTGGTAGGGACAAGGTTTTTCCATGTTGCCCAGGCTGGTCTCGAACTTCCTGAGCTCAAGTGATCCACCTGCCTTGGCCTCCCAAAGTCTTGAGATTACAGGCGTGAGCCATCACACCCGGCCTTGGCTCATATATAAACACATACAACCTGTACGTAGAGTTGTGCTTATTTTGTTTTAATAAGGTTTTACCTTGTACTTTATACTCTCATCCTGCAATTTTATCATCTCTCTTTGTAGTATACCGTGTGCATTCCAGTCTAAGCTAGAACTTAGTTTTCAGTTCTAGAAAATAGAGTGAGAATACAAAAATATAACATTTGCCTGCCAATCTAATAGCATTTTAATTCCTAAATAGATCTACTTTCACAAATATGCTACTTCTCAAAGAATTATTTTTCTTATGATATTTTTCTAAGCAATGCAATGTGATATTAATCAGATTTTTAAAATGCACTACTGCATTAGTCAAGGCCCAGAAAGAAAGCATGATTTGCTCAGATAGTTTAAAGGAACAGGCTGTAAAGAAAAGTGAAGGGACCCACCAGGTGACCTTGTGGCAACCAAAGACAAGCACTAGCAGAAAGCCTTTACCACCTACAGCAGAGGCGCGGAGGGAGGAACGGTTGCTGCCAGATCCCCAGAAGGCAGCAGCCAGGGAACACAAAGGTCTGGCAGGAGCCGCAGTCATAGAAGTAAAAAAATTTGTTGTCAGAACCTGGAAACAGGAGTGAGTAGGGAAGAAACTTTTTGAGCTCTGACTTCTGAAACCTTCCTGTTTCTGTGGGTGTCTCTCATTAGCCAAAACCAACTGGAAGTCAGCTGGGAGGGGAGCAGGGTGACACTCGGGCAGGAAGGGTGACACTGGGGCTGGAAGGGTAGAGGGTGGTTCTGAGGACCTCCACAAAGAATGGCCAGCACATCCTAGAACACTGACACTTATCAAATTTAAAAAAAAAGTTTATTTTTGTTTTGTGCATTCATGTTCTTTAATGAATGATTTATAAAGTAATGGCTTGGAATAGAAATCTAAAGCTTTTATTTTTTAAATTATGAACCGAAGTAATCGTACTTGCTAGAAATTAAACCAGAGCTTTGAGGTCAAATAGTTTACTCTTTCTTCTGTTTATATTAACAGGGAAGATTAATTGTGCTGAATATCGTAGTTTTGAATGGAGCTTTTTATTAACTTCAACATCAGGAAATCACCAGAGTCCACCTACCTTTCCTTATTTTTCACAGAAATAGAAAGATTGATGTTCTCATAGAGCAAAAACGATGAGGTCTCACTTCTTGTGGCCTTCTGACATCCATCAATATTTTAGGAAAACAATTCTCACATTTCAGGGCCAAATGGGAATTAAGTTGAGCTCAAATACAAAGGGAAATATTTTTTATTAAAACATTATAAATTTTTTTGTGAAATGAATCAGGTAGCCTAAAATTTAATCCTTCCAAACTACAGTAGGTTAAAAAAAACAAGTGAATGAATGGTAAACAAGTTGAAATTTTCTTTCCAGTTTCTTATCACTGGCTAATTGGGAAGAATTGAAAAGTCAGAAGAGGAGAAAATTATAATCAATGCCTACTCCATTAAAAAATTGCTTAACTGTTTTATTGAAATTGATTCTATAGAGAGTCCCTGATTGCATATTTGATAAGGAACATTAACGCTAATACATGAAATACCCTATGTGGTCACATATGAAAGAAACATTCTTGGCTGGGTGCGGTGGCTCATGCCTGTAATCCCAGAACTTTGGAAGGCCGAGGTGGGTGAATCACGAGGTCAGGAGATCGAGACCATCCTGGCTAACATGGTGAAACCTCGTCTCCACTAAAAATACAAAAAAATTAGCCGGATATAGTAGTGGGTGCCTGTAGTCCCAGCTACTCGGGAGGCTGAGGCAGGAGAATCGCTTGAACCCCGGAGGTGGAGCTTGCAGTGAGCCAAGATCACGCCACTGCACTCCAGCCTGGGTGAAAGAACAAGTCTCTGTCTCAAAAAAAAAAAAGAAAGAAAGAAAGAAAGAAACAAAGAAAGCATTCTCCCAAATATTTTCGTTTATATAAAAAGATAAGTCTCACCCTAAATCAATGTTAAACTTATAGAAAGAACAGGTAGTCACAGTTAGAATGTGATTTTAGGGGCTAGGAAATCAACCCCAGACTTCAGCAAATCAATGTTCTACCACTGAAGTGTGCTAATATTTAGTATGAAACCGCTTACGGATTTCAGATCTTTTCCTGAAAGCAAACTTTAATATAGCAGAAGTCATCTGGATTTGGGCTGGAGATGGGGAGAATGAGAGGAGGCAAGTACTATAAGGGGTGGAGTGTAGGGGTAGGAGAGAGTAAAGAAAGGCATTAATTAAATGTCAGAAGTGAATTTATTCATTTTGTAGTTTTATCTAAACTGAAAACTGATCCTTGCTTGAATGGCTTGATAGAGAATGCCTCTCTCATGGGGCAAGGATAAAGCTATAATTATAAAACTTCAAGCTTAAAATAATGGGACTCAATGTTTGGGACATCTTTTTAACTCAGCTAATCTAAGGATATGAGAAAATACTGTTCCTATTTAAGGAGCAAAAATTGGTAGATATGTGTTTGGGAGAATTTTTAGATTTGCCAGCATTTGTGTTTCAGAACACTAAACAGCCTCATGGCAAGCCTGAATTTCTGAATATAATGAAGCAGAGACTGTTTTGTCTTGAGTAGATCCAGTTCGTGAAGTCTCAGGGGAACAGCATGCTTCATGCCTGCCAGCAGATGAGCTTCAAAGTGCCTTAAGGAAGCACTTTGACCAGAAGGTAGATAACTCTTATTATAGAAGAAGAAGGAGTGTGTAATTCATCTCCTACTGGTAAGAATAGTTATTGCTTTTGCAAACACTGTAAATGTGCAATCTAGAAGCTAGAAATAAGTACGCAGTTAGAAGGCAGTCTTTTTTTTCATATGTAGTGAAACTACTACACTTTCTGCAGTGGCAAATCTTAGCAGAGATTGTAAATCTAAGCAGAGAGGTATCCAGGATTGTGGTAGTCTACACTGAGTATGCCTACATGATGGTAGAGAAAAAAAATGAAGATTACATGCAGGATAGCTCCCTAAGAATATCAGATAAGAACTTCTGCAGAACAACTTGTTATGCATCTTCTGGTCCAAATTTTCAAAGAAACTGCTGCCGGGTATAAGGATACAAAAAAAGAGAGAGAGAAAGGGAGAAAACAAACAAACAAAAATGACCCTGAAGTGATAAAATATTTGGCTGCATTTGTTATTTAGGAAAGTCTGTAACTCAGAAATGAGATGGTCTGGAGGGAGACTTTAGAAACAATAGCAAGACACGAAAGTTCTCTCGAAACCTTGGATCCCATTTTTCATAATAAACAGAATTATGTCTTTTTTGATTAGCTTGTGAAAATTATTTGAGAATAATTTATGAGAAGTTCCCACTGCTAAAATATACTGAGTTCAATAAATTATTCATATTTTATTTTCATTAATTAAAATAAACCCAAATCCTATTAAGAACTTTTTCAAAGACTGATAACCATGACTACAAAATGCTTTGTTGTCACATTTCTTTTCATTCCATAAATTAAATAGACTCTTCTTTGTCTCTAAAGGCTATTTAAATATATTATGTTTCCCAGGAAAGGCTGCAGTTAAATGTTGGCATTTTGTCCTTATGTTCCTATAGTTTCCTGTTGTAGCAGTGTAGAATGAAGTTATGCCAGAACAATTTCCACATAAATATTGAATAAAGTGGACTTTTCATGGTTCAAAGAGTTTTGTGCCAATGTTTCTTTTCTTAAGTGTTCAATGTAAATTTATGAAATTTTAATATTCTCTCATAAACACCTAAGTGTAGTTGCCATTAAATACAGATTCACATTCATGTTAGAACTGCTATTTTTTTGTTTCATATGATTTGTTCTTTTTTTTTTTTTTCCGAGAAGGAGGCTTGCTTTGTTGCCCAGGCTGGAGTGCAGTGGCGCCATCTGGGCTCATTGCAAGCTCCGCCTCCCGGGTTCAGGCCATTCTCCTGCCTCAGCCTGCTGAGTAGCTGGGACTACAGGCGCCCGCCACCACGCCTGGCTAAGAGTGTGTGTGTGTGTGTGTGGTGTGTGTGTGTGTGTGTGTGTGTGTGTATTTTTTTTTTTTTTTTGAGACGGAGCCTAGCTGGGACTACAGGCGCCCGCCACCACGCCCGGCTGTGTGTGTGTGTGTGTGTGTGTGTGTGTGTGTGTGTGTGTGTGTGTGTATTTTTTTTTTTTTGAGACGGAGTCTCGCTCTGTCGCCCAGGCTGGAGTACAGTGGTGAGATCTCAGCTCACTGCAAGCTCCGCCTCCCGGGTTCACGTCATTCTCCTGCCTCAGCGTCCGGAGTAGCTGGGACTACAGGCGCCCACCACCGCGCCCGGCCAATTTTTTGTATTTTTAGTAGAGACGGGGTTTCACCATAGCCAGGATGCTCTCGATCTCCTGACCTCGTGATCCGCCCACCTCGGCCTCCCAAAGTGTTGGGATTATAAGCGTGAGCCTCCACACCCCGCCGGCAAATAAATTTTAAAGCCCTACATTCTTGGGCAAATTTTACCCTTAAACAAAAATTCAGCCAATTGTACTAATCCAATAAAGAGCCGTTTTAGGGAGCCTAAAGTTTTTTATGAAAGCTCTAGTTGAATCACATATCAAAGTACTGGTCTATTAAGTTTCTTTTTTTCAGATATAAGTTAATTTTGATGTATTTTATTTGCTCTTTAAAAAATCACACTTTTGAGGCTGCGTGCGGTGGCTCATGCCTGTAATGCTGGCATTTTGGGAAGCCAAGGAGGGCGGATCACTTGAGGTTAGGAGTTCGAGACCAGACTGGCCAACATGGTGAAACCCCTTCTCCACAAAAAATACAAAAATTAGCCAGGCGTGGTGGTGCATGCCTGTAATCCCAGCTCCTTGGGAGGCTAGGGCACGAGAATCACTTGAACCCAGGAAGCAGGGGTTGCAGTGAGCCGAGATCGCACCACTGCACTCCAGCCTGGGCAGCAGAGTGAGACTTTCTCAAAAACAAACAAACAAAAAGTCACCATTTTGAATGCTTAGACACTACTGGTGGACATGTAAATTAGTTCAGCCAGTGTCAAAAGCAGTTTGGTGATTTCTCAAATAACTCAAAACAGAATTACTATTCTACCCAGTAATGAGAATGGTAGACCTAGGCATGTGTATGTTCATTGCAGCACTATTCACAATAGCAAAGACATGGGATCAACCTAAATGCCCATCAATGGTAGACTGAATAAAGAAAATGTGGTGCATAGGCCGGGCGCGGTGGCTCACGCCTGTAATCCCAGCACTCTGGGAGGCGGAGGCCGGTGGATCACGAGGTCAGGAGATGGGGACCATCCTGGCTAACACGGTGAAACCCCGTTTCAATTTAAAATACAAAAAATTAGCCGGGCGTGGTGGTGGGCGCCTGTAGTCCCAGGTACTCGGAAGGCTGAGGCAGGAGAAGGGCGTGAACCCCAGAGGCGGAGTTTTCAGTGAGCCGAGATCGCACCACTGCACTCCAGCCCGGGTGACAGAGCAAGACTCCCGCTCGAAAAAAAAAAAAAAGAAAGAAAATGTGGTGCATGTACACCACAGAATATACTACACAACCATAAAAAAGAACGGGATCATGTCCTTTGCAGCAACATGGATGGAGCTGGAGGCCATTATACGAAGCAAACAAACACAGGAACGGGAAACCAAATGCCGCATGTTCTCACTTATGAGTGGGAGCAAAACACTGAGTACATATGGACACAAAGAAGGGAACAACAGGCACTGGGGCCTACTTGAGGGTAAAGGGAGGGAAGACGGTGACAACTGAGAAACTACCTATCTAGTACTGTGCTTATTACCTGGGTGGCAAAATAATGTGTACACCAAACCCCTATGATGTGTAATTTACCTAACAAATCAGCACATGTACCCCTGAACCTAAAATAAAAGTTAAAAAATAATAACAATAATCACCCTTTAAACCTATCTTTCAACATTTGAAGTTTGCAAAGGCAAAGTTTTATTCACCTATGGAACATGGTTTACTAACTGAGCAACTCTGGGCAAGTACTCTCTTGGCCTCTTAAGTGGGGATAATAACAGGGCATGCCTCCAAATCTTCCTGTGAACATTAAGTGAATGGATACGTACTGGACACTCAGAAAAATGCTTGGGTTGTAGTGATATTTAAGTGCCATTATAATGGCAGCATTGTATGAACAGAAATTAAAAACTTCAAAGTACATGTGAAAAAATATTTTTAAAAAATCTAATCATTGTATGATATAACTAGAAATTTTATTTAAGTACTTAAAGTAAGAATATTTCTACTTAAAATTCTAGATGCAGTGAAAAAAACATTAAAAAATGAAAATAAAGACATTTTTCAGACTTAGAAAACCTGAAATAATTCATCTCCAACATAGCCACTTTACAATAAATGTTAAAGAAAGTTTTTAGGCAGAAGAAAATTGAAAAACTGATACTAGATGGAAATATAAATGCATACAAAGGACTGTGGGACACTGGACATGGTAACTACATGAATAAAACTCTGGAATGTTTTTCTTATTATTTAAGCATTTTTAAAATATAATTGTTTAAGTAACAGTAATAACAATATAGCATGAGGTTTATAACACATGTAGAAGTCAAATTTATGGCAGTGATGGCACAATGCCTATGAGGAGAAAAATGGAAGTATGCTATTCAAAAATTTTATATGTGAAGTAATATACTATAACTTGAATATACACTGTGAAAAGTTAAAAATATATGCTACATACCCTAAACCAACCACTAAAATATGCCAACAAAGAGTAAAGGCTGATAAGCCAATCAAAGAGATAAGATGAAATTCTTAAAGAAATTCTCAATTATCCTTTAAAAAGGGCTAAAAAAGAGAAAAAGTAACAAAGCACAGAGGGAACAAATGAAAAACCATTTTAAGAAAATAAACTTAAATCTAACCATATTAATAATCACATTAGTATCAATTGCCCAAAAACTCTAACATTTACAGATTAGATTCAAAGAAAGCAAAAGCTAACAGTATTCTGCCTCCAAAAAAACATACTTTAAATGGAAAAACACAAGTAAAAAGACGAAAAAATATATAATAAACACTACCTCAAAGAAATCTGGAGTGACTATAGTAGTATCACACAAAGTAAATTTCAGTTGAATGGGTATTACTAGAGATAAAGTCATTTCAAAATAACGAAAGGGTCAGTTTGTCAAGAGAAATAAAAAACCTAAATGTTTATATAACAAATCATGTACATTCAATATACATGAAGCAAAATATAAAGATTATAAGAAAAATAAACATTTTTCTTTCCACAATTACAGTTAGATTTTTGTTTGTTTGTTTTGAGACTGAGTTTCACTCTTGTTCCCCAGGCTGGAGTGCAATGGTGCGATCTCGCCTCACTGCAACCTCCGCCTCCCAGGTTCAAGCGATTCTCTTGCCTCAGCCTCCTGAGTAGCTGAGATTACAGGCACCCACCACCACGCCCAGCTAATTTTTTGTATTTTTGGTAGAGATGGGGTTTCACTATGTTGGCCGGGCTGGTCTTGAACTCCCAACCTCAGGTGATCCACCTACCTCAGCCACCCAAAGTGCTGGGATTACAGGCATGAGCCACCACGCCTGGCCTAGTCAGACATTTTTATACCCCTATATCAAAAACTTCTACAACAAGAAGACAAAAATTCAGTAAGAGTGTAAAAGATTTGACCAACATTACCACTTGACCTAATTGACATGTATAGAAAATTTCAAATACCAACTGTCAGATACACATTTTTTTTAAATGTACACAGAATATTTACCTAGAAAAAAACATATGCTGGGGCATAAAATTAATCTCAGTGATGTCAGAAAAATGGCAGACTAGAAAACTTTAGAACTTTGTCCCCCATGGAAACATTAAAGAAAAAACTACAAATTGGTTAAACTGACATTTAGGAACTATGGAAAACAGCTCAAGGTTTACAGAAAACACATGAACATCCAAACAAAACGGAGCCACATCCAAAGCAGTAGAAAATTGTGTGGCATTTTTACTTGGCTTTGCCACATCCCATCCCTGGAACTGCACAGAATGGTCTTAGGAAAGTGATAGCTGAGCTTCCAATTCCTTCCCTGGAACTGGAAGGGTAAACCAGACTTTATTTGAAATGTTCTAACCTGTCTGGGAGCTCCATGTTGGATTAGTCTCCGTTGTTTCTAACTCATAGGTCAGACAGCAAAGATCAGAACAGCTCATATCTCAGGCTATGAAAACCAATGAGAGACAACAGACATAGCTCGTGAATGCTGCTGTGAGATGCATGATAGACCTGCAAATGCCTGGAGCATGAGATTACAGATAGAGGAATAAAATAGAATATTCTTGACTCTGAGAAGAAGCAGGGCTATGACCCCTAGGGAAATTAAGACATTTTCTAAAAGGCTGTATACACAAGGAAAAAATAAATAAAAGCACACACAGGCCCAGAGAAAATGAAGTCTGATAAAAGACCACAGAAGATGAAAGCCTTCAGACCAGGCTGATCTAAGTCAAAGAACATGCCCTTCTAATTATTGAAGAGCTTTTCCTACACAGACTCAGTCTGCAAACATTGGGAGAGGAAATGCCTTTTTTTCTAAATGCCCCATTTTCCACAATAACAATAACAATAACAATAACAAATTACAAGGTGTTCAAAGAGACAAGAAAGCCATGGCCCAATCAAAGAAGAAAATACAGCTGCAGAAACTGTCCCTGAAGAAACATTGACATTTGAAATACTAGACAAAGACTTTTAAACAACTATCTTATGCTCAAGGAGCTAAAGAAAAACATAGACAAATAACTAAAAAGTGAAGAAAATAATATATGAACAAAAGGAGAATATCAACAAAGAGACAGAAATTATTTTAAAAGAACCAACAAGAAATTCTGGAGATGAAAAATACGGTAAGTGAATTGAAAAATTTATGAGACAGCTTTAACAGAAGACTAGCAGGCAGTGGAAAGAAGCAGCAAACAAAAAGAAAGATTATTTAAAAGTAGTGAGTCTAAGGACCAAAAAGGAAAAAAAAAAAAAGGAAGTGAATAGAGTCTAAGGTATTTAAGAGTCACCATTGAGTAGTCCAATTATTCATTACAGAAGTTCCAGAAACAGAAGAGAGAAAGGAGGCAGTGATTTATATGACAACATAAGTGTCAGAGGCGTTCAAACCAGAGCGACTCCATTTTGAGTGAGGGCTAGGAAAATGAGGCAGAGACTTGCTGGACTGCATTCTCAGAAAATTAGGCATTTTCCTAGCTTCTAGATGTTTATGAATCAGTGAACAAATTAATGATGCTTACTAAAACAGACCCAGACTTGGGAGTGTCCAGATATCTCAATATCTGGAGAATAAGGGCATTCCTAATTTTGCATTAAAGATAATAATATTGATTCTTGCAAAATATGGTAATTAAGAAAATTAATCCTTTATCAAAAACTCTTGTAGGAGAGCACATCTCCCCATATATGCAACCATCGTACCTAGGATGGATGTGTTCTTCCTCTCACTTTCAGGAATGTCCTACTCTGTCTATGGAGTAGCTGTTCTTTCACCACTTGCTTTTACTTTGCACTGTGGACTCGCCCTGAATTCTTTATCGTGTAAGCTCTAAGAACCCTCTCTTGGGGTCTGTATCGGGACTCCTTTCTGGTAACATAAGGATCAAAAATTTCCCAAATTTTTAAGACATGTATATGCAAATCCAAGAATCTCAATGAACTCCAAGTATGATAAAACAAAAGGAGTGTAGGCAGAGGAACAAAATTGTCAACTGGAAATTTTATAATTAGCAAAACTGTCCTTCAAACATGAGAGGAAAACCTTCTGGTTCTAAACCAGTATGTAAGGAGCTTGATAGTCATACTTTATCCTAACAACTAGTAAAAAGTTGAACAAACAAAAAACTCAACACCTCTTCTCAGATCTGTCATGGAAATGAGATCAGAGAGCAAACCAAGGACCCCCAAATTGGAGAGACAGACAGGCAGATACATAGAAGCAAAACTTAACTCATGCAGAAATGATGAGCAGAAATCTCCATAAGACCCAGTGTTGGGTTGGGCATAGTGGCTCACGCCTGTAATCCCAGCACTTTGGGAGGCCGAGGTGGGCAGATCACCTGAGGTCAGGAGTTCAAGACCAGCCTGGCCAACACGGTGAAACCCCATCTCTACTAAAAATACCAAAATTAGCTGGGCATGTTGGCGGGAACCTGTAATCCCAGCTATTCAAGAGGCTGAGGCAGGAGAATTGCTTAAAGCCGGGAGGTGGAGATTGCAGTGAGGCAAGATCATGTCATTGTACTCCAGCTTGTGCAACAGAGCAAAACTCCACCAAAGAAAAAACAAAAAACAAAAAAACACACAAAAAAAAATCACCAGTGCTGAAGTAGAAAAACCTGAAACTGTAATTAACAAATTGCTGGAGCTCAATGTGAACAACTCTGAAAGTTAAAAACTTCAAGTGGGTACACTCATTGAAGGTCTCCATACTATTGTGAATTATGCCTCCAGAAACTCTACTAGGTTCTCAGTGAATGTTGGAAAAAATGTCCTCATGCTTCTGGCAGGAGGAAGGGGAAAGGAACCATTTGGAAACATGCTGGAGTATTCAGTTCTTTTTCACAAGACCTGCACCAGAAGAAACTATTTTACTAGGGCCTAATCTGCTGGGGTTTTATCAGAGCCTACTATATGTGACAGAAGGAAAATACTCAACTGGCTGTAGCCTTCCACATGCACAAAAGGGAATAAATAACTCCATCTCCTTCTGGCCTTTCATGTGGGGGAAGAGAAACACTCAACTACAATCCCTTTTAGATTTCCACATGGAAAAAGGGAAATATACAACTTCATCCTCCCTTCAGCCATTATGTCTCATCTAAAGTCGGGGAGGAACTGAGAAGCACTGATGAAGTTCACAGTCAAGGGGCACAGTCTCACCAAAAGACTGAGCCCTAATCATAGGACTATAGAATGCTCCCCTTCCCCTTACACTCTATCACTACATTACTAAAGGCCTATTTACTATAGCTGCTTTTACTTAGTACATTGTGTTCACTTTTCAACAAAAAAAATTCCAAGATAGACTGAAATGCAAAGAAAAAAACAGTTTCAAAAGTATGAATAAGCATCATAAGCAGAGTCAAGTATGGCAGGAATGTTGGAATTATCAAAGCAGATATTTTAAATAATTGTGATTAATGTGCTAAGGACTCTAGTAAACAGACAACATGCAAGAACAGATGAATTATGTAAACAGAGAGATGGGGATACAAAGAAAAAAATCAAAAAAGAAGTGCTGGAGATCAAAGACATTGTAATAGACATAAAGAAGGGCTTTGATGGGCTCATTAATAGACTGGACATAGCCAAAAAAGAATCTTTGAGTTTGATGATATGATAATAGAAATTTCCAAAACTAAAGAGCAAGGAAAAAAATTACTCAGTAAAAACAGAATAGAATATCAAAGAACTGTAACAAAACTACAAAAGGAGTTAATACATATATTGGGAATTTTAAAAGGACAGGAAAGAGAGAAAAAAATGGAAGCAATATTTGAAACAATAATGACTGAAAATTCCTTCCAAACTAGCGTCAGACACCAAACCAGAGATCAAGAAAGCTCAGAGTACACCAAACAGGATACATGAAAAGAAAAATTACACCTAGGCATTTCATATTCAACTTCAGAAAATCAAAAATAAGAAAAAAAAAGTCTTGAAAGAAGCCAGAGAGGAAAAATACCTTACATATAAAGGAGCAAAAATAAGAATTACTTCTTAAATTTTCTTAGAAACCATGCAAGCAAGAAGAGTGAGGTTGAGAGAAAAACCACCAGCCTAGATTTCTGCACACTGTAAAATTATCCTTCAAAAGTAATAAGAACTAAAGTTCTTCTCAGACAAACAAAACCTGAAGGCATTGTTACTGGTAGACCTACCTTGCAAGAAATGTTAACGGAAGTTCAGAAAGAAAATGATGTAGGTCAGACACTCCAATCTACATAAATAAAAGAAGAGAGTCAAAGAATTAATAAGTAAAAGTAAAGTAAAACATTCATTTTTTTGTTCTTAATTGATCAAAGACATAATAGTTTGCTCAAAATAATAATAGCAACAATATATGGTTATGTACGCATATATATATGCTTTTGCATACTTTTGTGTACATGAAGTGAGAGATAGCAATGATAAAAGGGAAAGGAAGGAAGAATTAGGAATATTGTGTTATTAATATATCTTCTACCTGTGAAGTGGTATAGTGTCATTTGAAAGTGTACTTGGATTAGTTGTAAAAATATATTGCGAACTCTAGGACTAATGTTTTAAAACTTTAAAAAAGTATAATTGATATGCTAAGGGAGGAGAGAAAATGAAATTATATAAAGTGCTCAATTAAAACACAAAAAGTAGAAAACTATGCGCGACAAAAATAACTAAGAGCAAGGACGGCAAAGAAAAATCATTAACACAGATGGTACATATTAATTGCTATATCAATAATCATCTTAACTGTCAATGGTCTAAAACACACCAATTAAAATACAGAGACTGTCATAGTAAATCAAAAAACAAGACCCAGCTGTCTACAAGAAGCTCATTTTAAATTTGAAGACTCATAGAGATAAAAATTAAGGGGATGGAAAAGATACTGAGGTAAATTATAAAGGGTGGTCATAGCCTCCCTTAAAGGAGAACAAACTTGCTAAATAGATGGAGAGAATAAACTACCCGACAGTGCACAAACCACATCATGGGCTCAGGGTTAGAACATACTGCAGCAAGGAGGTAGAAAAATAGAAGAGAGAATTCCCAAATTCACACAAGCACAGAAACCCATGATTAGTGTCCTTGGACTGACCTATATTCACTATAATAGTAAAAGAAAAACACCCCTGGGTGGAGATTTAAGATGCTAATGATACATGCAATGTTAAGTCCTAGCATGTACAACCACAGCACCTGTGCAGCCAGGGGACTACCCATAACATACTCATCAGAACACCCCTTCCCACCCCTCCATGAATAATCATGTAAATCTCCCATAAAGGGCGATCCCCCTGCATCAGACAGGGCTGTCTCACCTTTGAGCAGCCTGCTCTGATCAGCTGTCAGAGTGTACTTTTGCTTTGCAATAAACTCTTTTGCTTACTGTTACTTTGGACTCGTTCTCAAAGTTTTTTGTGCAGCAAAGTCAAGAACCTGAAACAGCCCACTGGCAAAAATAGCATGCTAACAGTAATCCAAAGAAAGCAGGAGTAGCTCTATTAATGACACATCCCACTTCAGAACAAGAAGAATTATCAGAAATAAAGAGAGTAATTACATAATAAAAATGCGGTCAGTTCTCCAAGAAGACATAACAATCCTTAGTGTTTACACACCTAAAAACAGAGCATCACTATATGTTAGGCAAAAACTAATAGAACTTCAAGGAAAAATAGATGAATTTACTACTGTACTTTGAGACTTTAACATCTCTCTACTAGTAATTAGCAGATTAAGCAGGCAAAAAATTAGGGAAGACATATTATAATTCAAGTCAGCAGTGACATTAATCCAATTGACATGTGTAGAATAATTCACCCAACAGCAGAATACACATGCTTCTGAAGCTCCCATGGAATGTTCACAAAGACACATCACTATCTAGGCCATTAAAAAGCAACTTATTTAAAAGCATGTAAGTCATGCAAATTATGCTCTATGACTACAGTGAAATTAAGCTAGAAATCAAATTCAGAAAGATGACTAGAAAACATTCAAATACATGAAGGCGTAACATCACACTTCTAAATAAAAAATGGATCAAGGAAGTCTCAGGAGGAATTGTAAAATATTTTGAACTAAATGAAAATGAAAATACAACTTTAAATTTGAAGACCCATAGAGATAAAAATTAAGGGGATGGAAAAGCTACTGCGGTAAGTTATAGAGGGTGGTCATAGCTTTTCATTTTCGCTTACATCTTACGAAAGTGTGAAATGCAGTAAAACAATGCTTAGACCAAAATTATAGCATTGAATGTACATGTTGCATCCCAAGGAGGGTCTAAAATTAATAATCTAACTTTTCACCTTAGGAAGCTAGTAAAGGAAGAACAAATTAGACTCAAAATAAGGAGAAGAAAAATATAAAAATCAATAAAATTGAAGACAGAAAAATCAATAGAAAAAAATCAACAAATAAAAATCTGACTCTTTGAAAAGATAAATAAAATTGGTAAATCTCTATCCAGAGTAAGAGAGAAAAAGAATACAAATTATTAATATCAACATTTAAAGAAGAACCACCTCTATAGATACTATGGACATTAAAACATTTAAAAAAATAAAGAAATATTATTAACAACTTCATAAGTTTGATAACCGACATAAAATGCAGCACTTCTTTGAAATATACAATCTACTAAAATTCACACCAGGAGAAAAAGACAATCTGAGTTGTCCTATACCTATCAAAGGAACTGAATCAATAATTAATAAGCTGATAAAATAGAAAGTACCAAGCCCCAGAGAGTTCTCTGGTAAATTCTAACACTTAAAAGAAAAATTATAACAATTCTCCAGAATCTTTTCCAAAAAATAGAAGCATACAGAATGCTTCCCTAGTTATTCTATGAGGTCATTATTACCATACACCAAAACCAAAGACATTACAAGAAAGAAAAAACAAAGAGCACTATCTTTCATTAAGCAAAAATCCTGAACAAAGTATTAGCAAATTGGATCCAATAATGTGTAAAAAGATGATGAAGTGGACCTTATCCTAATTATGAAAGGCTAGTTCAACAATTGAAAATAAACTGATATATTTCATCACATTAACAAGAAAAAGAAAAAAAACAAGATCACATCAGCAGATGCAGAAAAACATTTGACAAAATCCAACATCCATTAACGATAACTCTCGGCAAATTAGGAATAGAGGGAAACTTCCTCAAAGTGACAATGTCTATAGGAAACCTACAGCTAACATCATATTCCCTGGTAAGAAGTTAGATGCTTTCCTGGTAAGATGAAAAACAAGGCAAGAATGCCTGCTCTCACCTTACTCAACATCATACTGAGGGTCCTAGCTAATGCAATAAAACGTGAAACACACATAAAAGTTAAACAGATTTGGAAGAAAGAAATAAGACTCTGCTCACAGATGGCATGAAGGTTTATGTAAAAAATCCCCCCAAAATCAACCAAAACATTTGTGGAACTAACATGTGGTTATAGTAAGGTTGTAGAATATAATGTTAATGTACAAAAGTCAATTGATTTCTGATATACCAGCAATGGGCAATTGGAATTTGAAATTAAAAGCATAATACCATTTACTTTAGCATTGAAAAGAGAAATGTTTAGGCATAAATTAAATAAAATACGTACCAGGTTTATATGAGAAAACTACAAACTCTGGTGAAAGAAATCAAAGATCTAAATAAATGGAGTATAAATAGAATAAAATATGTACAAAGTTTATATGAGAAAAAACTACAAACTGATGAAAGAAATCAAAGAAGATCTAAATAAATGGAGAGCTATTCTATGTACATGGATAAGAAGACTCAATATTGTCATAATGTCATTTCTTCAAAACTTGATCTGTAGATTTAATGGAACCCCAATCAAAATTCCAGCAAATTATTAAGTGGATATCCACAAACTGGTTCAAAAGTTTATATGAAATGACAAAAGATCCAGAACAGCCAACATAATATTGAAGGAGAAGAACGAAGTTCGAGGTCTAACGAACTAATTTCTGTATGATTCCAACTACATGGCATTCTGGAAAATGAAAAATTACAGACACAGTAAATAGCTCAGTGATTGCCAGGAGTTTGAGGGAAAGGGGACTAGGGGTAAATTGAACACAAGAGATTTTCAGAATAGTAACACTGTTATGTATGACAGAGTAATTTTGGATACATGCCATTATATATTTGTCCAAACCCATGGAACGTCAATCACAAAGAGTGAAGCCTAATATAAACTATGGGCTTTAGTAACTAATGGTGTATCAATACTGGGTCATGGATTCTAACAAATGTGCCACACTCATGTAAGATGCTAAAAATAGGAGAAACTGCAGGGAGGTATACGGGAACTGTTTTTTTCTTTCATCTTTTTTTCTGTAAACCTAAAACTTAGTAAAAAATGAAGCATCTTATTTTTTAAAATTATCTAAATACATTAATAAAAAGTGAGAGATTAGCAAAGTAGATTTCAAAATATCCTAATCATAAGCTGTTTATAAGAAACCTACTTTACATTTAATAAAATAGGTAAATTGAAATTAAATGCATGAAAAAGACATAATATGCAAATATTAACAAAATAATGCAGGAATGGCTATATTAATATCTGATGGAGAGACTTCAGAGTAAGGAAAATTACTAAAGACAAAGAAAGATATTACATATTTTTAAAAGCCAAGCTACTATGAAGACACAATGATCCTAAATGTATATAAACCAACAGAATTTTAAAATACATGGAGCAAAAGCAGAGAATACTGAAAGAAGAAATAGACAAATCTACAATTATAGTTGGGGATTCCAACCTTCTCACTAGCTGACAGAATTACTAGTCAGAAAATTCGCATAGATATAGAAAAATATGAACTACACAGTTCAACAACAGGATCCAATTGATATTCATATATAGATTTATCACATAAAGGAAACTCCAATAAGATTAAAAACTAATTGCTCATCATAAGTAATAGAAGGCAGAAGAAAGTGGAATGACATATTAAAAGTGATTAAAGAAAATAAGAGACCAAGAATCTTATATCTAGCAAAACTATATGCTAAGACTTAAGATTAAATAGACATTTTCTGGCTGGGCGTGGTGGCTCACTCCTGTAATCCCAGCACTTTGGGAGGCAGAGGTGGGTGGATCACAAGGTCAGGAGATCGAGACCATCCTAGCTAACATGGTGAAACCCCGTCTCTACTAAAAATAGAAAAAATTAGCCAGGCGTGGTGGCGGGCGCCTGTAGTCCCAGCTACTCGGGAGGCTGAGGCAGGAGAATGGTGTGAACCTGGGAGGCGGAGCTTGAAGTGAGCCAAGATCGCACCACTGCACTCCAGCCTGGGCAACAGAGCAAGACTCTGTCTCGGAAAAAAAAAAAAAAAATAGACATTTTCATATAAACAAAAATTGAGAAAATGTGTTGCTGGAAGATTTATCTTGATATTTATTAACACTAACAAAAGATTTCCAAGCTGATTCCTGATACGTGTTCAACCCCATATGAGAAAACAAAGAGGCTGGTAAATTGAATTATGTAGATAATTTTTAGAGTATAATTGGATATTTTGTCTTCTTTCCTTAAATGATTTAAAATGCAATTGCATAAAATGATATGTATATACACAGATTGTTGGATTCATAACCTATGGAAATGTAATATATTTGACAATAATGGCAAAAGGATATGAGCAAATCCATATTGGACCAACCAATAGGTTGACACCAGATGGTTTTTCAGGTGTACAAAAATAAAGAGAACCAGAAATGGCAGATAAGAAGATTAATATCACAAACTTTACAAATGTATACTTGCCCTCCTTTCTTCCTCAGCTTCTTTAAAAGATGCAAAAGTAAAAAGAACAAAGCTGGAGACATCATGCTACCTGACTTCAAAGTATACTATAAGGCTACAGTGACCAAAACAGCATGGTACTGGTACCAAAACAGAGATATAGACCAATGGAACAGAACAGAGGCCTCAGAAATAACACCACACATTTACAACCATCTGATCTTTGAGAAACTTGACAAAAACAAGCAATGCGGAAATAATTGCCTATTTAATAAATGGTATTGGGAAAACTGGCTGGCCATACGCAGAAAACTGAAACTGGACCCCTTCCTTACACCTTATACAAAATTTAACTCACGATGGATTAAAGACTTAAACATAAGACCTAAAACCATAAAAACCCTAGAAGAAAATCTAGGCAATACCATCCAGGACATAGGCATGGGCAAGGACTTCATGACTAAAACACCAAAAGCAATGGCAACAAAAGCCAAAATAGACGAATGGGATCTGGTTAAACTAAAGAGCTTCTGCACAGCTAAAGAAACTATCATCAGAGTGAACAGGCAACCTACGGAATGGGAGAAAATTTTTACAATCTGTCCATCTGACAAAAGGCGAATATCTAGAATCTACAAAGAACTTAAACAAATTTACAAGAGACAAACAACCCCATCAAAATGTGGGCAAAGGATATGAACAGACACTTCTCAAAAGAGGACATTTATGCAGCCAACAAACATATGAAGAAAAGCTCATCATCGCTGGTCATTAGAGAAAGGCAAATCAAAACCACAATGAGATACTATCTCATACCAGTTATGTGATGCTTTTTTGTTTGTTTGTTTGTTTTTGTTTGTTTTTGTTTTTTTGAGACGGAGTCTCGCTGTCGCCCAGGCTGGAGTGCAGTGGCGCGATCTCGGCTCACTGCACACTCCGCCCCCCGGGGTTCACGCCATTCTCCTGCCTCAGCCTCCGGAGTAGCTGGGACTACAGGCGCCCGCCACCTCGCCCGGCTAATTTTTTTGCATTTTTAGTAGAGACGGGGTTTCACCGTGTTAGCCAGGATGGTCTTGATCTCCTGACCTTATGATCCGCCCGCCTCGGCCTCCCAAAGTGCTGGGATTACAGGCGTGAGCCACAGCGCCCGGCCATGTGATGCTTTTATAAAGCATGCTTTCTTGCGTGCCGCTATGATTGTAAGATGTGACTTTGCTCCTCCTTGCCTTACACCGTGATTGTGAGGCCTCCCTAGCCAGGTCAAACCTCTTTCGTTTATAAATTACCCAGTCGCAAGTATGTCTTTATTAGCACTGTGAGAACAGACTGATACATCAGAGATAAAGAAGGACATGCTGTAATGTTAAAGAGACAATATGTCAAGAAGGTATAAAAATTATAAACCTATGTGCACTGAACGAAATTTTTCCAAAATCTACAAAGCAAAAATTAAAGGTAGAATTAAAGGTGAATTAAAGGTAGAATTCAACAATAATAGTTGGAGATGGTAATCGTAGCAGACATCAGTATCTCACTTTCGATAATCAGAAAAGCTAAATAGATGCTAGCAAGAATATGGAGGATTTGAGTAACAGTATAAACTAGCTAGATGACAGTACAGTACACCCAAAAGCAGAACATTACTCTCAAGTGCACATGGAACAGTTCCTAAAATAGATCACATGCTAGGCCAAAAACCAAACCTCAAAAAAAGTAGAAAATGATTGTTCTTTGATCAAAGTGGAATTAAATTAGAAATTAAAAACAGAAAGAACTTTGGGAAAAGCAGAACTTATAAAAATTAGCTACATACTTCTAAATAACCAATGAGTCAGAGATGAGATCATGATGAAAAATAAGCAGAAGAAAGGATATAATAAACACTGAAATAGAAATTAAAGAAATAGAAAAAATGGTAGAGCAAATCAACAAAACCAAGAGTTGGGTCTTTAAAAAGATTAACAAAATTAACAAACTTTAGCTACACTTACAGGGAGAAAGAAAGATTCAACTTACTAAAATTAAGAATGAAAGAGGGACATTACTATTGACCTTATAGAAATAAAAAGAACTATTAAAGGTACTATGAAAAAAAGAATGTCAACATATTAGATAATGTTGACGAAATGATATCATTTCTAGAATAATATCTACCAATCATTTAAAGAAGAATTAGTGCCATTCTTCACAAGCTCTTAAAAAATTTTAATATTTATTACAGTATTACTTATAATAGCCAAAAAGTAAAAACAACCCCAATGTTAATTAACTGATGAATGGATAAATACAATATGGTGTATCATATATCGTATATATGATATCATGTTATTGACCAACAAAAGGAATGAAGTACTAACACATGCTGCAACCTGGGTGAAAATATTATATTCTTGTAAATATCATGCTGCATAAAAGAAACCAGAACCAAAGAGTGCATTTTGTATTATTCCGTTTATATAAAATCTCCCAAACAGGCAAGTTTAGACAGTGGTTGCCTAATGATGTAAGGTGGAGGAGGAATGGGAAGTGACTGCTAATGGGTACTGGGACTCTTTGAGGGTACCAAAAATGTTATAAAATGAAACTTTGGTGATGATTGAACAACTGAATGAATATATTAATATGTATGAAACATTTTAAGTGAGTAAATTACACAAAATTTAAATTATGGCTAAACAAAGCTGTTTTTAAAAAGTGTACCAGCAGCAGAAAATTAGTTATAAATTAATCAGGATTAAACAGTGCTCATCTTGATTAAGCTTATAATGGATGATGATTTATTTTACTTGTTTTATTCTGTAGTAAACAGTTTGAGATTCAGTGATTAAACAAAGGACTACCTTTACACTCTACTTATTTTTTAAGTAAAAGAAAAACATTATTAAAAAGTGTATAAACTGGTTCATGTTTATGTTAACTATCTTACCCTTCCTTCTCTTTTACTTCCAATTACTTTGGTTATGTTTCGGGTTTTATTTGATATTGTCTATGGAATCTGTTAATCATTCTTTAAAGGAAAGAGGAAGTGGGTAGGGAATAAAGTATGGAGCCATCCAAAAACGAAAAGATCTGGGAAGATGCTGTGCTGATTTAATGTTAAGAAATGTTCAGAAAGTAAACCCTTGATGTCTTGGTTTTTATTTTAGAAATATTATCTTGTTGACAATATACTAAAGTGCATACAACTGATTTAAAATAAAAATAAGGTATATGAAAATATGTAAGATGCAGCTGAAGCAGAGGTGAGAGGAAAATTTTTATTACTAAATGTTTATATTAGAAGTGATAAAGTCCTCAACCAACTAAATTCCTACCTCAAACAACAAACAAAAACAAGAAATAAAAAGAGCAAAATAAGACCAAATCAAGAAGCAGCATATTCTGGTATAACTTTCAAATTATCCTTTAAAAATAGTCATAAGTTCAGAATCTGGTGTACAAATTCTATATTATGTCTCCTTACCTTTGAAATGCATTTTTTTTTTTTTGAGAGACAATCTCGCTCTGTCGCCAGGCTGGAGTGCGATGGCACCATCTCGGCTCACGGCAACTTCCGCCTCCCGGGTTCAAGCAATTCTCCTGCCTCAGCCTCCGGAGTAGCTGGGACTACTGGAACGCGCCACCACATCCAGCTAATTTTTGTATTTTTAGTAGAGACGGGGTTTCATCATGTTGGCCAGGATGGTCTCCATCTCCTGACCTCTTGATCCGCTCGCCTTGGCCTCCCAAAGTGCTGGGATTAAAGGCGTGAGCCACCGCGCCTGGCCTAAAATGCGTTTCTTTTCCTTGATATAAATGTATTATCTGCACTACTATGAATACTGAAATGCCATAATTGAGGCTTTTTTTTTAACTTTGCAAATGGAATAAAGGAGAGAAGGAAGGATGAGAGTCTCCTGAGATATTTAGATAAATGTTAGAGAAAAGAAAAGATTCAAGTTGATATTCTGATAAACCTGATAAATCACATGGACAAATCTGACATTTATGCGAGTAAACGAAATGGAAAACAATATAACTGGGTGTAAAGAAAGAAGGAGATAAAAAAATACAAAGTTAAATAGTCCCTCATATTGGTCACAAGGCCAAATCAGCTGGCTCAGAATGTCATTTACTGCAGAAAGCCTCACTGAATTTCCTCCTTTAAGGAATGACTTTGTTCCTAGGAAATCTACACTAGTGTATAGAAATAAAGGGGCATACTGTCTGCATCTTGCTCTTAGATAATTCAGAAAAATGTGTGTGTATATCTATATCAATACCTATCTAGAATAAACAAGTGTGATGATCTGTTAACAATTGATAAACCTGGGTAAAGGGTAGGTATATGGGAGTTCTTTGCATATTTTTTCAACTTTTATGCACATGCGAAATTATCTGCAAGTGAAAATGTTTGTAAAAATTAAAAAACATACCATTTCAAAACAGGCTGTATTTATATAAGAAGTGCCCAATGTTTTTGCTTAATTTCTTTGTGGTAAGATTTTAGTCTTCCAGGAAAAGTTTCATATTGGTTATTATTGTGAAAAATAATGAAGTGGCCTGCTTCTAATTTTTCTAAGTTCCCTTTTGAATAACTAAGCATCTACACCAAATTAAAGATACTTCTCTATAATTTTTCAAAATTCAAAAAGGATGTCTCATAAAGTAAGAAAATAAACTGTGGTTTGTTCCTCCATTGTTGTTAATTTGCAATGTCCCACTTATCTCTGATGGGATATCAGTAAATTTACTTGCCTTATTGTACTTGTTCCTTGATGTATTTCTAATGATTAATTAGAAATAATTACACATTTGTCCACTTTGGAAAGTAATGGAGGTGAAGGGGGTGTGTGTGTGCACTTGTATGGACGCACACATGCATAGGTACACACACACGTATTGTGTTTTCTTGTTTTGTTTTGTGCTTTGATTTTTATTTTTAAATTGTAAATTGACAAATCATAGTTGTGTATATTTATGGAGTACAAAATGATGATATAATTTATGAATACAATTTGGAATAATTATATCAAGCTAATTAACATCCACCACCTCAAATACTTGTCATTTTTAATGGGGAATGCATTTGAAATTTACTCTCTTAGTGATTTTTAAAATGTAGAATTCTTTACTATGTACTATTTTCACCAAGTTTTGCAATATATCTCAAAGAAAAAAAACCCTTATTATTCCTTTTGTATAAATGAGGCTTTGTACCTTTTGACCAATATCTATCCATTCCACCCCGCACCTCCAGCCTCTGCTAATGACCATTCTGCTCTCTGCTTCTTTCAGTTTGATTGTTTTAGATTCCACATATAATTGAGAACATGAAGTTTTTGTCTTTTTTGGCTTCGCTTATTTCTTTTAGCGTAACATTTTCCAATGTTGTTGCCAATGAAAAAATGATTTTTGTAAAGGCATGTAATTGTAACAGTCTCTTATGATCCTTTGTATTTTTGTGGTATCAGTTATAGTGTCTCCTTTTTCATTTCTAATTTTATTTATTTGAGTCTTCTCTCCTTTTTTCTTAGTCTAGCTAAAAGATTATTGGTTTTATATTTTTAAGAAACTTAGTTTTGTTCATCTTTTGTGTCATTTTCTAGTTTTCATTTCACTTATTTTTGCTCTGATCTTTATTATTTTATTTCCTTCTGCTAACATTGGAAGAATTTGATATCCTTTTTCTATTTCCTTGAGGCATAATACTAAGTTGTTTATTTGAGATCTTTCTTCTTTTTGCTGTTGATGTTTATTGCTATAAACTTTCCTCTTAGAAATGCTTTTGCTGTATCTCATAAGTTTCGGTATGTTGTGTTTCCATTTTTGTTTTTCTCAAGATATTTTTACATTTCTTGTTTAATTTCTTCATTGACCTATTGGTTGTTCAAGAGCATGTTGCTTAATTCTTTTAATTTTCATTTCTTCATTGACCTATTGGTGGTTCACCACCATGTTGCTTAGTTTCCACGTATTCGTACATTTTCTGGAATTCCTTCTATTGTTGGTTTCTAGTGTCATATCATTGTTGTCTGAAAAGGTACTTGATATGATTCTAATATTAAATTTGCAAAGATTCATCTTGTGGTCTAACCTGTTGTCTATCCTGCAGAATGTTCTATGTGTCCCTGAGAAGAATGTGTATTCTGCTGCTGTTGGGTGAAGTTTCTGTATGTGTCTATTAGGTCCATTTGGCGTAAAGCGTCCTTCAAGGTTAATGCTATTTTCTATCTTTTTTTTTTTTTTTTTTTTGAGACAGAATCTCGCTCTGTCACCCAGGCTGGAGTGCAGTGGCGCGATCTCGGCTCACTGCAAGCTCCGCCTCCCGGGTTCACGCCATTCTCCTGCCTCAGCCTCCCCAGCAGCTGGGACTACAGTCGCCCGCCGCCACACCTGGCTAATTTTTTTGTATTTTTAGTAGAGACAGGGTTTCACCGTGTTAGCCAGGATGGTCTCAATCTCCTGACCTTGTGATCCACCTGCCTCGGCCTCCCAAAGGGCTGGGATTACAGGTGTGAGCCACTGCCCCGGTCTGTTTAGAAGTATTTTTAAAGAATTATTGCACTTCTGTTCGGATAGAAAAACAAAAATACATTTTTAGAATATATATTTATATGTATGAAAATATAAAATTTTGAAAAGTTGAATATTTCAAGCCAATTATGTAGATGTCCTTGTCCTTCCCTGAGCTGCTGACTCACGTTCCATGAAGCGGGATGGGTCTCACAGGCCTGTCAGGATGCAGGCTGTGATGTGAAGGCCGCTCGACGCTCACAGGATTGGACGGGTTTGTGAAGGAATTTGCAGCGAGCCTTAGTTAGCTCCTTAACATTTCCTTTGAGCAACATCAGTGCTTTTGACGTTTTGCACTACTGTATAAAACTGTAAGTGTATGCAGAGATGTATGTTTCTGAATAAATCACAAAATTGACAAGCAACTGCCATGCATTGTTTTTTGTATCATAGCTTACTGATAAAGTACAGACTGCAACATTTACTTATTCAAATACCTTTAAAGATCTGGTATTTTTTTGCTTCTACTTCCCAGGAATTTGACCTCAGGGACATTTTCTATTATTTCCATATCTATTGAAATGAACTCAAATCAAAAATGAGGATGTTTCATTATACATTTAAAATGTGAGTTTTCCCATTTAAAGTCACGCAAACTGAGGTTACTATGAAAAAGATTTAAAATTGTGCAGAATGAATCACTGAAAAATTAGTTTATTCTAAAGATCATATAGTCAGAGTAAATATATTTAAATTTTATTACTTTCAGAGTAAATATATTTAAATTTTATTCAATTTCCTCTTTGTCAGCAAATTAGTGAATAACATTACTGATATCTTAGATGTTTGTGGACACAAAGAGAATAGAGGTAAAAATCATGACCCTCAAAGAGCTCAAAATCCTAAGATTTTTATGGGCAGCCCCAGAGGTATAAAATTCAAAAGGACATTACTTCTCCATTCCTGATTAGGTACGCAATGTTCTGGGATTATGCATGGCTCTTGGATCCTTGAGAGTAATAATGACAGTGATCTCTGAATTAACATAGTTCAACTTTTATAATAATTATGGCCTTCAACCATGTGAAGTTTGTGGAGCACTGAGATTTCTTGGGGCGATTTTGTAACAGCTAATTCTTAACAGCAATGTTATTTCAGGCTTTTTGGCCATTCCCTGTTACAACTGCTGATCTTTTATTCCTATAATGGTACAGAATTCTTTGAGAAAAATAAATTCATCTTTTCATTCATTTAAGGAAAAATTGTCAGCACGAGCCTATGGCTATAATGTTCTCCATCATTTAAAGAATAAAAGGAATAATCTGGTTGAAATTGAATTATCTAAGCTTATATATGGTTTTGATTCAATGGTTAATGTGCATTTTTAACAAGTGATATGGTTTGGCTGCAACATTTACTTATTCAAATACCTTTAAAGATCTGTTTTTTTTTTTTTTTTTTTTTTGCCTGTACTTCCCAGGAATTTGATGTCAGATGCATTTTCTATTATTTCCATATCTATTGAAATGAACTCAAATAAAAAAAGGGGATGTTTCATTACACACTTATTAATGTGTAATTTAAGATTAATGTGTAATCTTGTAATTCCCATAATCCTTATGTGTCAAGGGTGGGACCAGATGGACATAATTGAATCACAGGGGTGGTTTTCTCCAGGCTGTTCTTGTGATAGTGAGTTCTCACAAGATCTGACGGTTTTATAAGGGGCTTCTTCCTTCACTCAGATCTCATTGTTTCTGCTGCCACCCTGTGAAGAGGTGCCTTTGGCCATGATTGTAAGTTTCCTGAGGCATCCCCAGCCATGTGAAACTATGAGTCAATTAAACTTCTTTTCTTTATAAATTACCCAGTCTTGAGGAGTTCTTCATAACAGCATGAAAACAGACTAATACAGTAAATTGGTACCACAGACATAGGGTGCTGTTATAAGGATACACTAAAATGTGGAAGTGACTTTGGAACTGGGCAACAGGCAGAGGTTGGAATAGTTTGGAGGGTTCAGAAGAAGACAGTAAAGGCTGGGTGTGGTGGCTCATCCCTGTAATCCCAGGACTTTGGGAGACCGAGGCAGGTGGATGACCTGAGGTCAGGAGTTTGAGACCAGCCTGGCCAACATGGTGAAACCCCATCTCTACTAAAAATATAAAATTAGCTGGGCATCGTGATGCATGCCTGTAATCACAGCTACTTGGGAGGCTGAGGCAGGAGAATGGCTTGAACATGGGAGGTGGAGGTTGCAGTGAGCAGAGATTGCACCACTGCATTCCAGCCTGGGCAACAAGAGCGAAACTCCATCTCAAAAAAAAAAAAAGAAGACAGAAGAATGTGGGAAAGTGTGGAACTTCCTAGAGACTTGGAGGACTTGGAAGACAAGAAGATGTGGGAAAGTTTGGGACTTCCTAGAGACTTGAATGGCTTCTACCAAAATGCTGATAGTGACATGGAAAATGAAGTCCAGGCTGAGGTGGTCTCAGATGGAGATGAGGAACTTGTTGGGAACTGGGATAAAGGTGATTCTTGCTATGCTTTAGCAAAGAGACTGCAACACTTTGCCCCTGCCCTGGAGAGCTGTGGAAGTTTGAACTTGAGAGAGATGATTTAGGGTATCTCGTGGAAGAAATTTCTAAGCAGCAAAGTGTTCAAGAGGAAGCAGAGCATAAAAGTTTGGAAAACTTGCAGCCTGACAAGGCGATAGAAAAGAAAAACCCATTTTCTTGGGAGAAATTCAAGCCAGCTGCAGAAATTTGCAGAACAAGGAGTGGAATACTAATTACCAAGACAATGAGGGAAATGTCTCCAGGGCAAGTCAGAGACCTTCTTGGCAGCCTCTCCCATCACAGGCCTGGAAACCTAGGAGGGAAAAATGGTTTCATGGGCCCAAGACCCCCTGTTCTATGCAGCTTTGAGACATGGTGCCCTGTCTCCCAGATGCTTCAGCTCCAGCCACAGTTAAAAGGGGCCAAGGTACAGCTCAGGCCATTGCTTCAGAGGGTCCAAGCTCCAAGCCTTGGAGGCTTCCATGTGGTGTTGAGCCTGTGGGTTCACAGAAGTCAAGAATTGAGGTTTGGGAACCTTCACCTGGATTTCAGAGGATGTATGGAAATGCCTGGATACCCAGGCAGAAGTTTGCTGCAGGGGCAAAGCCCTCATGGAGAACCTCTGCTAGGACAGTGCAGAATGGAAATGTGGGGTTGGAGCCCCCACACAGAGTCCTCACTGGGGTACTACCTAGTGGAGCTGTGAGAAGAGGGTCACTGTCCTCCAGACCCCAGCATGGTAGATCCACTGACAACTTTCACTGTGCCCCTGGAAAAGCCACAGACACTCAATGCCAGCCCATGAAAGCAGCCAGGAGGGGGTTGTACCCTGCAAAGCCACAGGGGTGGAGCTGCCCATGGCCATGGGAGCTTACTTCTTGCATCAGTGTGACCTGGATGTGAGACCTGGAATCAAAGGAGAACATTTTGGAACTTTAAGGTTTAATGACTGCCCTATTGGATTTCAGACTTGCATAGGGCCTGTAGCCCCTTTGTTTTGGCCAATTTCTCCCATTTGGAATGGGTGTATTTACCCAATGCCTGTGCCTCCATTGTATCTACAAAGTAACTAACTTGCTTTTGATTTTACAGGCTCATAGGTGGAAGGGACTTGACTCAGATGAAACTCTGGACTTGGACATTTGGGTTAATGCTGTAATGAGCTAAGACTCTGGGGAACTGTTGGAAAGGTATGATTGTGTTTTGAAATGTGAGGACATGAGACTTGGAGGGGGGCCAGGGACAGAATGATATGATTTGGCTCTGTGTCCCCACCCAAATCGCATCTTGAATTGCAGTTCCCATAATCCCCAAGTGTAAAGGGTAGGATCAGGTGAACATAATTGAATCATGGGGTAGTTGCCCCCATGCTGTTCTCATGATGGTGGGTGAGTTCTCATGAGATCTGATCATTTTATAAGGGGCTTCCCCTTTGCTCAAAACTCATTATTTCTGCTGCCACCATATGAAGAGGTGCCTTCTGCCATGATTGTAAGTTTCCTGAGGCTTCCCTAGCCATGTGGAACTGTGAATCAATTAAACCTCTTTTCTTTATAATTACCCAGTCTTGGATATTTCTTCATAGCAGCATGAGAATGGACTAATACAAGATGTGAGTGCATTTCCAGTTAATAAATAGGTAATATTTTCTGTGTTTTCTGCTATGGTAATGAATTGCATTACAACTTCACTAAAGAGAGAAATCACTCACAATCTGAGACCTAAACCAAGAGCTGAAGAAAGTGCAAAGAGACCTACAGTAATTCCTATAAGTTATTTCCAATGGAAGGCCTCTGTGTATGTAGTACTGTAATAGAAAAACCTATGGAATAAAAAGAATGCATTCTCTGAGTAATGTTATGCAGTTTAATTAACCCTTCTCTGCATATTTTTGGCAGCTGTCATCTGTATTATAGGGATAATACAATTAATGGTACTGTCATGATTACATAAGTGAGATGAGTGAGGCATTTTTTTTGTTTTTTGTTTGTTTGTTTGTTTTGAGACAGAGTCTTGCTCTGTCGCCAGGTTGGAGCACTGTGGCGCGATCTTGGCTCACTGCAACCTGCAACTCCCTGGTTCATGTGATTCTGCTGACTCAGCCTTCTGAGTAGGCCATTGTGTGTGTGTGCTGAGGGGTTCCCTTATTGGGCAAAATGTACAGGGTAGCAAGGGATTTTTGGCAGCAAAGGATTGTGATTGGGTGGGGAGGAGTAGTAATATTTCATGAGAAGTAAGTTGAGAAGCAAACGAGTGCTGTGTGTTTTCATTAAGTAATAGGGTCGACACAGCATGGGAACATACACATCAAGTGGGCGGCCTAACACTAAATCAGAAGTAGCCTGGATGAGTTGGAAGTCATGGCCACTGTTTGTAGGCCAGGAGGATATGCTTTAGCACTGGCTGGTTTTGTGGGAAAACAGAGAGAAAGACATGGCTGAGTCTCAGGGTGCTCAGAGAAGGCCACAGCCTTGGGGTGCCGTGGTGACCACAAACACTTCCCCCATCCCATACCAATCTTTAAGAGCCTTTTCCTCCTTAAAGGCCTGTCACTTAGCAAAGAGCTTTCAATGAACCCTCCCCTCTGGGCCACTTGTTGGATTGCAGCCAATCAGTGATGGAGGGCTGGACACAACTGTGGGATGCTGTGATTTGGTTTGGCTCCTGGGTCTAGAGTGCTCTGGGGTCCACTGTACTTCTGGGATAAAACGCCAAGGCCATGACTCTCTTGCTAATTTACAAACAAAAGATTGAGGGCTAGCTAAACAAGGACAGAGCGGAAGCAGCTTTCTGTAAGACACACCCACCAGTGTGCCCTGTCAGTTTACCATTGCCATGGCAACACTCAGGCATTACCACCCCTTTCAGCGGCAATGACCTGATGACCCAAAAATTACCACCATTTTCCTAACAATTTCTGCACAAACCATCCCTGAATCTGCATGTAATTAAAAGTAGGTATACATATGACTGCAAAACTGGGCTCAGCCACTACTCTCGACACCCTGCCTATGGGGCAACCCTGGGAGCAGTCACTGAGCTGTGACCCCACAGGAGCTGTAACAGTGTTGCTTTGATAAAGGTGTTTTCTTCCACCTTACCACTGGCTCGCCCTTGAATCCTTTCCTGGGTGAAGCCAAGAACCCTTGCAGGCTAAGCCCCGCTTTGGGGTTCGCCTACCTTGCATCAGCATCAGGTTCGTTTTTTAAACTTGTAAAATACTTTTTGTGATTCTGTCATGTATTTTGCAGTCATGAACTAACATTTTTTTTCCTCAATTGTCAGTTGCAGTTTCCTCAAAGATCATTATAAATACTCCTTAACCTACAAAGTTTGGCAGTCACAGCCTGCTCTTCGAGGAACAGCCTGACTCACCATCAAGCGGCTCCTCAGGTGGTTTTACTTCCCATGTTTCCCATGTGAGGTACTATGCCTCAGTGATTCCTGGCAAAACTAGGATTCTCTGTTAGTATTGTGCTAACTTTGGAGTGAGTTTCTTTTGGTGAGTAATAATTTTAGTCAATGATACTACTGATTATTTTATCTTTTTTTAGGCTTATGATGAATGCTTGATTTATGATTAATATGTTTTTCACTTTTACACATTTCAAGGAAGGAAACAAGAACAGACAGAAACACAACATACTTCATGAAACCACATTTTAGCATCCTGGCCGAGTATTCATCAGTCAGCAAGATAGAGAGACATAAACTATTTCCAGCAAGAATACTTCATAAATGATGAATAGAAGAAAAAAAGAAGTCCTAAAAATCTTGCAGAACTGCCTTAATTTACTATCTTTACACTGTATCCTAAGTCACTCTCTAGCTTCTTGCTCTAAGCATATGAAATGTAAGAGCTAATGGGAACCCCAGTGCCTGTATAAATAACAAGAACCAGCATGTCTTTATTTATGGCAGGGAACACTCTACAACCTGGGACAAATGCCACTCTGCTTCAGTTTGGGGAAGCTCCTCACTTTACCATCCTGACGTTGAATAAATGATTCAAAGGCAACTACAGATGCAACCTGAGCCACTGGATGGGCTTTTGTAAATAAAGTTATCTCACCTGGCATTCATTACAGAGAAAACAAGAAATAAGGCACTACATGTCATATTTGTCTAGATCCTATACCTATTTAGGTTCACATTAAAATGAAGAGAAAACAACATAGGCTGAGAATCAGAAAACCTGAACTCTGTCCCAGCTCAGCCACTGGCCACAGGGAATTAACCAATCTCTTTGAACGTCAGTTTCTTCATTAAGCATCGTAGAGAATGTCAAAACCAACTTTATAAATACTGTCATTCCAAAACCACACAATTCAAATATAAATAATCTTTATAAGGTAAAACAAAAATGTACATAATACTTTACATAAACATTTTTAGAATAAGTTTATTATAACTCGATAAGCAAAATAATCCAAACCTTTATACATTTCTACAAGGATAGTCACGTATGTCAATTTTTCGGTTTCCTCTCGTGCCTATTTTGTCTCCTGAGCCGGCCCCTTTCCAGCTGACACGTGTGCTCCGTGTTCTCCCACAATAGCCTGACCTGGCCTGAGTCCGCGCCCCTGTGAGCCTCCTTTCTTTGCTTACAACAGCAGCCTGCCTGATGTCAGTTATGGACTATTCTTTCTTTCAGCCTCATTTCAGGGTCCTCTGCCTCTTAGAGCTGCTGCTGTAGCTTAGCTAGAGACCCGCTGCTGTTGCATCATGGAAAAGTGCCACATACGTTCACATGTGAAAGAATACGCAGACCTTCATGTTGTGTTTTAGTTTTAAAAAAAGTCAGAAGTAGCTTCACTTGATTTCAGCTTGTAAAGACATAGGAGGGAGGCAACTGAGAATCACCGTTGCAAAAAGCAAACATCAAAAATCACATTAAAATGCTGAAGTGTTGTGGATCACAAACCTAGCTTTATTGGATCAAGCATTCGTGAGAGTTCTTCTACTTGCTTTGTTATGCTTTCTATCAGACAGGGCTCATTCTCTGTCTTTTTTTTAACATATTCATTTTTTTCCTTTGGTGTGTTTAGATTATTATCACATCTTATGTTTTAAAACTAGCAAAATATGTGTAAGTCATGAAGACAGCGTAAGAAATAATAAAATGAACACTGATGTACACATTACCTGCCTAAGAATCAAAAACTACCCATATTTTTAGAGTCCTTAACACTGTCCTGTTAATTAGTCCCATTTCTTGTCTTTATAATTTTGCCAAAATAAATGCATTAGTAAAGGACATTGAACATTATTGTTTTACATGTTTTTCAGTTTAAACAAATGGGATTACACTGAATATATTTTTCTGAAATTGCTTTTTGGTTCAATATTAAATTTGTAAGATTCATTCTTATGATATTCTTATCTGTACTTTCTGTGCATTGATTTAGAGTATTCCTTCACAGGATAATACTATAATGAGCATTCCATTTTATTAGATTGGGGTTATTATCCATTTTTTTCTGTTACAAAAAGTAGATGTCCTTTTCTTGTATGAGTCTCCTGGACATAAGAGTTAGATTTTCTCTAAGGTATAAACCCAACATTCAAATCATTGTGTCAAAAGATTTGTACACTAAGTTAAAATGAACTGTTTTCCGATTTATGCTCCCATTAGAAGTTAAAGGTTCTGATAGATCTATATTCTCAACAATACCTAATAGTATCACAGTTTTTTTTTTTTTTTTTTTTTTGAGACAGAGTCTCGCTCTGTCACCCAGGCTGGAGTACAGTGGCGTGATCTCAGCTCACTGCAAGCTCCGCCTTCTGGTTTCACACCATTCTCCTGCCTCAGCCTCCTAAGTAGCTGGGACCACAGGTGCCTACCACCACGCCTGGCTAAATTTTGTATTTTTGTTAGAGACGGGGTTTCATCGTGTTAGCCAGGTTGGTCTCGATCTCCTGACTTTGTGATCTGCCTGCCTTAGCCTCCAATAATGCTGGGATTACAGGCATGAGCCACCGTGCCTGGCCAGTATCACACTTTTTAACATTAGTTAACTTGGTTTGTCATTGGAATTTTAATCTGCATTTTTTAGAAGTACTGAATCAAGAAAAAAATCAAGTAATGAAAAAAATGTTATTTTAGTAAATAAAAATGCTATAAAGACAATAAAGCAAGTGAACGTAGTCAAAAGCGGAGAGGGGCTACTTCATTTTGATAGTCAAAGATGGCCTTGCTGGTCATCTGAGTTGAGAGGTGGCTGGCAAGATGAGAAGAGATGTTAAGTAGCTGTGGAAGGGGCCTGCTGGCACAGGGCATGCTCTAAGGCCCTGAAAAGAGGCAAACATTCTTTCCCTCTAAATACCTGAACTAAGTAAAAACAGTCCTGGATTTGCACATTTGAATATGCACAGGTTTAATTAACATAGTTTAGTTAAATAGCACTAGTCTCCCAAAAACGTGGTTACAATTTCAGTTACCACAATATGCTAACTGTGAGCAACTGCATAAAATCCAAACTTCATTCCCAGCTCTTAATTCCACAAATGCCTATGTGAGTAAATAACAGGCAAGCATCATGATTAGGGACTGTATTAATCTTGTGGGGATGCTGCAACAAAGTATGAAAAGCCGGGTTGCTTAAAACAACAGAAATGTATTGACTCGTAGTTGTGGAGGCTAGAAGTCAGAAATCAATGTGTTGGCAGGTTCACGCTCTCTGCTGGCTCTAGGGGAGAATCCTTCTTCCCCTCTCCTTCCTGTTTGGGTTTGCCAGCCATCCTTGGTGTTGTCTGATCTACAGATATATCACTCTGTTTTCTCTATGTGTCTTCACATCGTCTTTTTTGTGTGTGTGTCTGGAGCTGTATCCAAATTCTCCTTTATTATAAGACACCAGTTAGTCTATTGGATTAGGACCCACCCTAATGACCTCATTTTAACTTGAGAACCTCTGTAAATGTGCTATTTCCAAATAAGATCATATTATTTTGAGATATTGGGGATTAGGATTTCAAACATATCTTTTTAGGGGGACACAATTCACCTCCTTCAAAGCCTGTCAGTGACTGCTCACTGTGCATCTGCTAGTTCGCACACAGACAGCAGAGTCTGCAATCGTGTTGACTCCTTGTCTCCCAGTGAGAAACCCATGTGACATTTATAAATATGAATAATCAGAAGAAAAAACTGGTCAACAACCATTGATGTGCGGCAAAGAAATAAAAAATGTGATAACCCTGGAAGTGTATTCAAATACAATGTAAATGGAATCATAGAATTGGCTCACCACAGGAAACGCAGCAAGAGGAACTTGGCGCAACGCAGTGTTCTGACATAAATGAGGAACGCAGCTGTGATGAAAAGGATGAAGAAGCCCCAGAGGAAGTGATGCCGGCAAAGACAGCAACAAACTTCATATTAAAGGAACTCTTGTAGATATTGCATGACGTTGACAATGTTAGATGCTGTTCCGAAAACAGCACGACAGTTCACCAAGGCATAGAAACACTGCTGGCTCCTTATCATAAGCTATACGACAAGAGGGAGGCAAGCACTGTTCAAACTGGGCTTGATACACGTCTATAAATAAATAAAGCACTTTAATTGGCTGTTGTTTAATGTTTTAAATTACAGTGTAAAAATGAAGTACTCCCAACCAGGCACGGTGGCTCACTCCTGTAATCCCAGCACTTTGGGAGGCTGAGGCGGATAATGAGGTCAGGAGATCAAGATCATCCTGGCTAACACAGTGAAACCCTGTCTGTACTAAAAATAGAAAAAATCAGCCTGGTGTGGTGGCATGCCACAACTACTTGGGAGGCTGAGGCAGAAGAATCGCTTGAACCCAAGAAGTGGAGCTTGCAGTGAGCCGAGATCGTGCCACTGCACTCCATTCTGGGCGACAGAGCGAGACTCCATCTCAAAAAAAAAAAAGTACTAATTTCACTATGTTTCATTTCCTTATACATTTATAACCAACAGTAAGAGATTTTTAATGTTTTGGCCAAAATTTTTAAATGACACAGAACAGTCGATGTTTCACATGGATTATTTAGGTCACTTTACAGATCTTTAGCTTACATAGTGATTTGTATGGCCCTGCACTGCTGTGCAAAGAGAGGACTGTCTGTGTTCTTAACCAGTAAGAAGGAGGGCAAGAAAGAGGTTCTCAGCCAGATATTGCGTATGTAATAAAATGATGGGAGAGGGAATAGCACTTTAGATATGAAATGTACCCTGTGGGGAAGCTATTTGAACAACAACAACAAAATAGCTTAATTTAACCTGATGGAGTACACTCAGCCACCTTCTAGATGTCCCTGCTTATTCTTCAAATCTTCTCTTTTGTGGCCCCAAAGAATGATTCACTCTCTGGAGTGAAAAATAACCGTTGCTTTCTTTGCCTGGAACTTTAAACTGACTTGTGCTGTATCATCCAAACCTGTTCAATTCTCTCTTTTCTATTACTCAGTGAGGTCCAAAGGAGCCAAAGACAAATCTCTCCTGTTTTTCTTCGAAATGTAAAGATGTTGCATCTGTAACCACAGGCTGCTTTTAATCCTAAAAGTCAGCGTGATAATGAAATCCAGTGATTAATTTCTGTCTTCTAATCAATAAGTAGACATATCAATTTATAGTATGTTAGAAAGCCTCAACTCCACTGAAACAAAAAGCAAGAGGCTCTGCAAATGTTGGAGTGTGCTAAAGGAAAAGCATGGACTGATGTTTGGGGAAAGGTTGGTCAATGTGATGAGGCCATCTGTGTTTGCTAATAGTGCTTATCAAAGTTAGGTTCCTACACAGAGACAGAGACCAGGAGACAATCCTGTATCCTTCTTGATCCTTATAGTCCAAAGGGATAGCTCCTAAGTCTTTGAGAAAGACATTCTGTGTTATAGGAGATTTAAAGGGACAGAGAAAAGGTTTATAACTACAGGTTTTCTGTGTTTTTTTGTGTTTTTTTTTTTTTCTAGACGGAATCTCACTCTGTCACCAAGCTAGAGTGTAGTGGGGCGATCTCGGCTCACTGCAACCTCCGCTTCCCAAGTTCAAGTGATTCTCCTGCCTCAGCCTCCCAAGTAGCTGGGACTACATGTGTGTGCCACCACGCCCAACTAATTTTTGTATTTTTAGTAGAGACGGGGTTTCACCATGTTGGCCAGGATGGTCTTGCTCTCTTGACCTCAAGATCCACCTTCCTCAGCCTCCGAAAGTGATGGGATTTGAGCCACCACGCCTGGCCATAATTGCAAGTTTTCTAAAGTTAAGGCTCTTAGAAATGGGAGGTCAGGGGCCTATAGTCAAGTTTTGGGTGGGACAAACAGTAAATTCTTTTGGCAGAATTGAATGTTCCCAGGCAGGTGCTTTAGAGGGGTATGGGGCATCGTAGGGACGTGGCTCTGAGCTGATAGAGGCTGTGTTGGAATTTGGCCAAGTCCCTTACTGTATGTATGAGGAGGAGGGATGTGCAGAAGAAGTTGTTTGTGCCAAGAATTTGCGGTTTTCACAGGTTAAGACAGCGGTGCCTGGGATCATCTGCAAGGCATGAGTCAAATGTTGACACAATGATTGTTTGCAGACTCATCTGAGGGCTTAGGCAGATCTGGACCTGTTGATACTGAAGTTTCTGAAGGTAGAGGAAGAAAATATAATGTCTCAATAATATCTGAAGTAGGGGTAGGGAAACAGAGATTTAAGGAGGTGAGATCCCTTCAGGCCTCAGAAAGAAGCTTCACTTCTTGTGCCTCTCTTCAGAATAAATGGGTCATTAAATTAGTTCTTTGTAACTAACCTAGGCATGATGGTGAAGAAGGGAATAGTGAGAGGAAGAACTTTAAATAAATATGCCTGAGAGATCATACTAGATTAATGGGAGAGAAAGAAATTTCCAAGAAGCTGTCATGGGAAAGGGCTCACGAATAATAATTTAAAAATTAGTTATTGATAATATGAATAAATCAATAAAAATAAATAAAAAGAGATCTGCCAATAGCCACACTTACAGCACCAGATAGATTTTAAATAAATTAAAATTTGAGTTTTTAATGAATTTTCTACAATCCAAAATTTATTTGTTTAATTTTTGCAACGAAACACCATTTCTTTACTTTTTGCAAAAGTAAAAGTAAGATGCTACTTGTACTTTTTAAATAAAACTAATTTTAAAGAAAAACATAATTAGCCAGATGTGGTGGCAGGCACCTGTAATCCCAGCTACTGGGGAGGCTGAGGCAGGAGAATTGTGGAGGTTGCAGTGAGCCCAGAAGGCCCCACTGCATCCAGCCTGGGTGACAGAGCGAGACAGTCTCAAGCTTCTTCAGTGCTCACATGTAAACTTCTACTTTCCCCTTCAGATTACAGCAACCATCATGCCAAAGCTATACACTCTCAGGGAATCCCTGTGGATTTCACTGATGACCACTTGACCAACTATCATAAAGATCAAGGCCAGGGGTTCTCAAACTCTCAACATTTGTGTGCTCATCTCCCCTTCACCCAGAGACTCCCCAGGGCTGCTGGGCCACACTTTGTTTTGTTTGACTGGAACATAGTTTGAAAGGGATGGAAATTTCCAAAAGGTGTTAATAGACACATAAAGATTTTTAAATATTAAAAAAAAGAAAAAGAAAGAAAGAAGGAAATGGGCATTTGTGAACTTTGGTCATGAGAACGCAGGCCTCGCAGTACTTAACTACTCCTTCCAAACCCCTGCCCAAAGAGAGGACCAAACTCTAGTGAGGCTTCCAGCAGCACAAGGATGTCCCACAGATGACCCCAGCCCTCCTTAAAATGACTGCCTGAGAAAGCTCACTTGCAAGGAGAATTTACTGTTTGTTTCAGGCAAAACCTGGTGATGGGCAGGTAGAGCCCCGAATCCCCTCTTAGAACCTTAGAAAGCTTGCAATTATAAATCTTTTCTCTGCCTTTGAAGTGTAAATCTACATCCCAGAATTGTCTCCTCAAAGACCTGAGAGCTGTCTCTTTGAAATGCAAACATTCAGGAAGCTAACTCTTGCTCTTGTTGCCAGTTCCTGAGGGAGGGGAAAGGCCTAGCTTTGGCAAGCACCTTGCTCCAGCTTGCACCTCTGACTCTTTTATTGCCATCAAAATCAACATGTAGACTTTTTTCAAACCCAATGACAGCCCATTACAATGGAGGCCATAGCAATGGAGGTCTCTACATGCAACAAAAATGGTGGGACAGTTTCCTGACAACAGTCCAACTTTATTCCAAGGATAAGCATGTCATGAAATTATTGGATGGCAGATTATGCTTATCTATGGTCTTCCTTTTTCTCCTTGGTCTCATCCCAATAACTTACAGATCCTTTAAAGGCAAAGGCCAAATATTCAGCTAAGTTAGGCATACTTTAGATGCCAATATCAATTTTAGCTATATGGGAGATTCTACTTAAGATATTGAGGACGATCATGTGTGTACAGGGCAAAAAAGATGGGACAAAGAGATAAGGGGATGGGAAATCGCACCCTCCCTCCGCACCACAGACCATGACCTGGGGCAGGTCCTCTAACACCAAGCCCACCCAGGCCCCATCTAACAGTATGCCGCATTCTACATGACCTCAGAGTTCTTTCGGAATTCCAGCTGAAAAGCTGAAAAGCAATACTATATAGCTGTGGTTTCCAGCTGGCCCATGTTAGTATGTATAGCTTTTCTTCCTCACCATGAAAGCACTATGGGAGAACGAAGCCCGATGCTGAGCATGCTTTGCCAGGTGGGTGCTGCTGAATCACAGACCTCAGCGACTGTGTTCCGCCTCCACAGAGGCCGGAGATGTTTGTTTCCCCAGTGTGTTCATATATTTCAGCCAGTGTCTTGCACTTTGCCCTCTCAGTTTGCTTCACTTTCTGGCTCAGTGAACCTGACCTGCAAGTCTCCCTGCAGTTTCCCTCAGCAAGTGCTCACTGGGCAGCCCCAACATGTGAGAAACGGCTGTAGGGTGCACAGAGGTGAACTAAATTACTGAAAACTATTACTTTACTAAAATGCTTCCTGGATTCCAGAACTCACCAACTGGGAGAAAGGTCAGACACACACGGAGACAACTCATCTACACAAATGATCATCAGTGATTTAAAGAAGGTGCAGGAGATCATGGAATAAGAACAAGAAGAGATTACTTTCCAGGGCTCTCAGAAAGTTTCTGAAACGAAGTGCCATTGACCCTGACCTTAGCATTGTGATGGAGACATTACAGAGCTGGTAGGAAGGAGAAGAAGGAATGGCTGGAACACACTTGGGGTGAAATGAGCGGCATTTCAGTGTGGGAGCTGCAGACTCGGTTTTGGTGGAAGAGTTAGGAGCCAGGATCTTGTCAGGAATAATTCTGTGTCCAAGTGCAGAATCGTGGTTTGCTCCATTACTGCCAGTAACTCCATTTCTCAATCATGATGGTGATGCTTTTTTTTGGCTCTCAATCCCGGAGATTGGCCATACTGAAGTCACATTACAACAATTAACTTTTCAACTATTAGTTGATTAATTTTTACCAAGTAGCAAGAACAGCTGTTTGGCACGTAGCAGTGTGGCATGAGTATCTTGTAAATGAATTAAACAAAATATCTCTCCAGCACACACACAGTCATTCTTGCTGCATGTCAGCCTCCACTTCTCCCTCCATTATTTGATGCCGTGAAGCTGAGGCAGCCAGCTTGAGCGAAAGTTTTCAGATCTCACTCCAACAAAGAGCTTTGATTGATTCACTTAGTATAAGGTGTTTTATCTAGCTAAAGAAATCCAAGCTGAGTTTTATTAATTACTAAGAAAAATATCTGTGCAATAGATTAATCTTTGATCAAAACTATGTGTGAAGTAGAAACATATTACACATATGGAGAGCAATATTATGGAATAAAAACAACCTATGTGTGGCATAATTGACATTGTCTTTATATTTTGGGGGGGGCTGAATACGCAGTCTCGCTCTGTCGCCAGGCTGGAGTGCAGTGGCACGATCTTGGCTCACTGCAATCTCCGCCTCCTGGGTTCAAGCGATTCTCCTGCCTCAGCCTCCTGAGTAGCTGGGATTACAGGTGCATGCTGCCACACCCAGCTGATTTTTGTATTTTTAGTAGAGACAGAGTTTCACCATGTTGTCCAGGATGGCCTCGATCTCCTGACCTCATGATCCTCTCACCTCAGCCTCCCAAACTGCTGAGATTACAGGCATGAACCACCTTGCCTCGCCTATAAATAATTTTTGAAACAGATACAGAATATATAGATAGCTTAACAATTATAAAATTGTATTTATCAAGTATGTCACGAGGTAAACATTTTACGCTATGCAAAAGGGAGCAAACCTCCGAATTTGTCATGCAGGGTCACTAGTGGAACTCACAGCAACAGGTGTGATAAAGCAGAGGAGGGAACCAGGCTTCCATGTGCTTTAGAGAGAGTGAAACATGAGGAGTCACAGGCAGAGAAAACTGTTTTTCAGAAAGAAAAGAAAGGGGACATGACAGCCCAGCAGTAGGGTGAAGAGGGCCTCTCCGTGGGTGCCACTGGCTTGAGCTGCTGTAAGTGGCTGTGCCTGGAACAGAGGATCTGGATAGGAGAATGGGGAAGGGAGTGCTGGAACCGGGGTTGGGCAGGAGCAGCAGTCTGGAGACCAGAATGACCTAGGGTTTCCTCTCATGCTCCCATTCCCAGTGTTTCACGTGTGTAAAGTAGCAAGCATGTATATACTGCTTAGAGGCATCTACACTTACATACTACACTCATATCCAACACTTGCATCGTACAAAGTACACATAGTAGGTGTGGCATGTAATAAGTTACCCTCCTATATTTTCTTCTAAAAGATTTTTAAATATTTGCATCTCAAATTTAAGTCCTTTGTCCATTTAGATCTGGCCTTTGTGTGATAGGGATCCATTTTTGGGATAGAGATGCATTCTGATATTTTCCCATATGGATACCAATTGCTCATACCATGGTTCATATAGACCCTTTCTGACTGTTCTGTAATGTTAGCCAGGGCATACATCAAGATTTCACACAAGCATACACTTTCACAATAGCAATTCCTGCTGTGGTAATTATAACTTCACAGCAAATCTGGTACGAGATAGACTCACATAAGCTCCACCTCCCACCTTCGCACACTTTAGTCTTCTATGGGATTGTCTTAGTTATACTGGGCCCTTTTCTCTTCCATATAAGCTTTGGAAGCAGTTTAGTGACAATGGTACTCTTGTCTTTTTCTTGATTTTAAAAGGAGTGATTTCAATATTTTTAATCACAAAACATGATAGGTGCTGTAGGTTATTTGTCGACTCCTTTTATCAGGTTAAGGAAGTTACCCTTTATTCATAGGTGGAAATATCAATAATTTAATTTTCGTAAATTTTTTTTTTTTTTTGAGAGGGATTCTCACTTTGTGGCCCAGGCTGGAGTGCAGTGGCAGGATCTCGGCTCACTGCAAGCTCCGCCTCCCGGATTCACACCATTCTTCTGGCTCAGCCTCCCGAGTAGCTGGGGCTACAGGCGCCCGCCTCCACGTCCAGCTAATTTTTTTTTTTTTTTTTAGTAGAGACAGGGTTTCATTGTGTTAGCCAGGATGGTCTCAATCTCCTGACCTCGTGATCCACCCGCCTCAGCCTCCCAAAGTGCTGGGATTACAGACGTGAGCCACTGTGCCCAGCTGTAAAATAATTTTATAGGCCTTTTGAGACAATCATATAATTTTTGTCTTTAATTTGTTGATAAGGAGATAATTTCAGTAGATTTTCTAACACTGAACTAAATTTGCATTACTAACCGAGCTTGTTCATGGTTTTTATACTTTGCTAGGTATACTTCCTAGTATTTTGTTTACACTATTTGTCTGTGTGCATGGATGAGGTACACCATAGCAAGGTTATCCTAGTATCATATGAATTAAAGAATGGTCTCTTTTTTTTCCCCTCGCAGATTATTAGTGTAACATTGGAACTACTGGTGACATCATCTAGGCATCATGTTTTCTTTGTAGAATTATTAATTATTAACTCAATTACTTTAATGGTATGATTTCCATCTAGATTTTCTAATTATTTGAGTCAACTTTGATATGTTATATGTATCCAAAAATGTGTTAATCTCACTTATTTACAAATGCATATATATGTCTTGTTACTTAATGAAATAGATCATAAATATAAAAGTGTGTGTGTACAGCTTAAGAAGAATATAAAATGAGCATATGCGCCCTTCCTTCAGGTTATGAAATAGAATATTTCCAGTATCTTAGAAACTCCCATTGCCCTTCTTCAATGCCACTCACTCTTTCCACAAGAGGTAACCACTATCCCTAACTTCCTGTTAATCATTCCATTGCTTGTCATTATAGACTTGCATATTGTTTAGTTTTGCACATGTTTGACTTTTTTAATAAGTGAAACTGTGTATTGTTTCTTGTTTTTTTTTTCTGAGACGGAGTCTCCCTCTGTTGCCCAGGCTGGAGTGCAGTGGCGTGATCTCCGCTTACTGCAAGCTCCGCCTCCTGGGTTCATGCCATTCTCCTGCCTCAGCCTCCCGAGTAGCTGGGACTACAGGTGCCCACCACCACGCCTGGCTAATTTTTTATATATTTTTTAGTAGAGATGGGGTTTCACCGTGTTAGCCAGGATGGTCTCGATCTCCTGACCTCATGATCTGCCCACCTCGGCCTCCCAAAGTGCTGGGATTACGGGCGTGAGCCACCGTGCCTGGCCAACTATGTATTGTTACTTGTGATTAGATATGCATACACACAAACATGTGTATGCATATATATATATATATATACATGTACACACACATTATTTTTTAGAGCAGTTTAAAGTTCACAGCAAAACTGAGCAGAAGGTATAGATTTCCCATATACTCCCTGCCCCCCACACATGCATAGCTTCTCTCATGATAAACGCCCCCCACCAGAGTGTTGCATTTGTTACAATTAATGATACATGATACATCTTATAGTTTGCATTAAGGTTCACACTCGGGCTTGGACAAATTTACAATGACAAGTATTCACTATTAAAATATCATACATGTACTTTCAGGGCCCTACGCATCCTCTGTGCTCTAGTTATTCATTCCTCTCTTCCTCCTAACTCCTGGAAACCACTGATTTTTTTTTTCTATCTCTATAGTTTTACCTTTTCCAGAAAGGTCATATAGTTGGAAGTGACAGTATGTAGCCGTTTTAGATTGGCTTCTTTCACTTTGTAATATGCATATAAGCGTCCTCTGTGTCTTTTCGTGGCTTGACAGCTCTTTTTATTTTTTATTTTATTTATTTTATTTTTTTATTTTTTTTTAGAGGGAGTCTTGCTCTGTCGCCCAGGCTGGAGGGCAGTGGCGTGATCTCCACTCACTGCAAGCCAAGCTCCACCTCCCGGGTTCACGCCATTCTCCTGCCTCAGCCTCCCGTGTAGCTGGGACTACAGGCACCTGCCACTGCACCTGGCTAAGTTTTTGTATTTTTAGTAGCCACGGGGTTTCACCGTGGTAGCCAGGATGGTCTCTATGTGCTGACCTCGTGATCTGCCTGCCTCGGCCTCCCAAAGTGCTGGGATTACAAGCGTGAGCCATCTCACCCGGCCAACAGCTCATTTATTTTATCATTGAATGATATTCAATTGTCTGGATGTACCACAGTTTGTTAATTCACCTACTGAAGGAAATCTTGCTTGTCTCCAAGTTTTTGCAATTATAAATAAAGCTTCCATAAACATCTGTGTGCAGGTTTCTGTGTGGACATAAGTTTTCAACTCCTTTGGATATATACCAAGAAACAAGATTGCTGGGTCGTATAATAAGAGTAGATTTAGTTTTCTAAGAAGCCACAAAACTGTTCTCCATTTTGTATTTCTATCAGCACTGAATGAGAGCTCCTGTTGCTTCACATCCTCATCAGCATTTGGTGTTGTCAGGGTTCTGGATTTTTGCCATTCTAATACACATGCAGTAGTATCTCATTGCAGTGCTGTATTTGAGAATGTGAATAGCTGCAGTTCATTCACTCTTAGTGCTGCGAGGTACTCTATTATCGGAATATATGATCATTTAGTTACCCAGTCCACTATCTACCCATATTGAGAGATAACTAGATTGTTTCCAGGTTTTTAAAATTGGGAACATTCTCATATATCTCTAGGTAAACAAACGCAAGAATTTTTCTGGGGCCTGTAACAGGCTGACTAGGTTGCACTAGGTTGTAGTGAAGTCACTGGGTCATAGGGTACATTATGATCAGCTGTATGAGCCAGCATCTGTCTGTTTTCCAAATGGCTGTCCTACTTTAGTGTGTGGGATGAATACTTCCATGGTTCTTTATCCGTGCCAATACCACACGTTTCAGAACTTCAAAAAAAAAATTGTCAATATGTGTGAAAGGATATCTAATTGTTAATTTTCATTTTCATGATTATTATGAGGTTGAGCACTTTTTACATGCTTATGGGGTATTTGTGCTAACTTCTCAACAGACATGTTATTTTTCACTTATTTATAGGAGGCATATTCTGGATACCAGACCTTTCTAGGTAAGATGTGTTGCAAATAGCTCTGCCAAGTTTTGGGTATTTTTTTTCACATTGCAGTATCCTTTAATAAACAGAAGTATTAAATTTTTGTGTTATCAAATCAATTTTTCCTCTTTCAGTTTGTTCTTCTTCCCCATGTAAAGATAAAAGATATGGCCGGGCGCGGTGGCTCACGCCTGTAATCTCAGCACTTTGGGAGGCCGAGGTGGGCAGATCACAAGGTCAGGAGATCGAGACCATCCTCGCTACCACGGTGAAACCCTGTCTCTACTAAAAATACAAAAAATTAGTCTAGGCGGGGTGGCGGGCGCCTGTAGTCCCAGCTACTCCGGAGGCTCAAGCAGGAGAATGTCATGAACATGGGAGAGGAGGTGGCTTGCAGTGAGCCGAGACCGCGCCACTGCACTCCAGCCTGGGCAACAGAGCGACTCCATCTCAAAAAAGAAAAAAATAATTATTCCCAGGTTTTTTTCTAAAAATGTTGAGAAGCTATCTTTATCCGTTAAAATATATTTTTATGTTTGTTCTCCGGGATTAAGTTTCAATTTCATTTTTTTCCCTTATGGAGATCAGTGGTCCCAGTGTTGCTTATTGTAAAATATACTATCTTCACTTAACAACAATGAAAGCTGTGTTACAAAATCTGTTTCCCAGTATTAGTGCAAAATATATTTCTCTTTATGATTGTACTCAGATTAACTAGTTTGCAGGACTGTGTCCAGAGTTGGTTCCTTCCGGTGGGTTCGTGGTCTCCCTGACTTCAAGAATGCAGCTGTGGACCTTCCTGGTGAGTGTTACAGTTCTTAAAGATGGCACGGAACCAAAAAGTGAGCCTAGGAAGGTTTATTGCTGAGAGCGAAAGAACAAAACTTCCACACCCTGGAAGGTGACCCCACCTGGTTGCTGCTGCTGGTTGCGGGTGGCCAGCTTTTATCCCCTTATTTCTTCCCACCCATGTTGCGTTTCTGTCTTATCAGAGTGCCCTTTTTTCAATCCTCTCCACTATTGACTACTTTTAGAATCCTGCTGATTGGTGTGTTTTACAGAGGCTGATTGGTGCATTTTACAAATTCCTTGTAGGACAGGAAAGTTCCCCAAGTCCGCACTCGACCCAGGAAGTGCAGCTGGCCTAACCTCTCACTGCCAGAGGCTAATTTCCATCCTGGTATTTCTCAGGCCCATAGATAGTGTGAATTCAAATCCAAACCAATATGTCTATTGACTTATACTTAGAAATTACCTTTTTTTTTCTTTTTTCTTGTCTACCCTATTGAAACCAAGACAAGCATAGATTTTCACTTTCTTCTTATGGGAGTGGGATTTTCCTAGCCCCACTTAACATGCTTCTCTTTAGAAATCCTAGATTTATGCAGGAGGCATTTTAGCCTATATTCCTCCCTGCATGGGCATCAGTCTCTGTCTCCTGAATTAGGTGCTCATGGTTCTGGGCCAATAGTTCCTGGGAGACACCCCAGGGCAAATGCCAGATGAGACACTCACACCTCTGGATTCAAACTTTTTTTGCTCTTGTAGATATCTGAAAATTTGCCTTACTTTGACTCAGCCCATGCATTAAAGCAGATGCTTTTAAATATTTTATGATGCATGTTTTAGGAAAGAGTCTGTCTGGGTATTTCTTCTTTTGATTTGCATTTTGCTTTCAATTCTTCTTTCACACTATCCTAAGCATTAATCAACTCGTCGTTTATGTCAGTTAGTACAAAACTTCACTATCCTGTTCATTATCACCATTTCATTTTGTTCTGCATAGGCCAGACTATTTATTTAAAAATGTTTAAAGAAACCTAAGGCCTTAAAGGATTCTTTCTCAGGGACTCTACTGTTTGTATTTAGAGAAATGCTCATTTGTTCCACTGTTTTACTTTCTTCTTGGGTCACGCTCTTTGATGACTGCCATCTTACAGAGGATGACAAAAGAGGGCCCAGGCTGAGACAATGATACCTGCTTGCCCCTTTGGATTTTATTTTCTTAGTGTTCTCAAAATATTAATAAAATGTCAAAAACAAATTAATATCACCAGAATGTGTGCCTCACTTAAAATTTTTCTCTCTAACAAGTTTTTGTTTCCTAGTTCCTTTGGTACCCTAATGTTTAGGTAAATAGTCTCTGAGGAAAGGATGTGAAAGTCATAGCAAAATATATGCTGGACTTGAATGAAAAATATCTGTTTCATAAAAGTTAAGCAGGCAACCAAAATTTACCTTTTTTAACCTAAATTATCTAAACATGTATTTACATTTCTGCTTCATTAAAATATATTTGAGATTGAATGCTCCTGAGACAGATTTTGGAATGCCCTCCCTTTCTAAAATATATTTTTTATTTTTTGTGGACTAAACAGTTATTTAAAAATGAACTTAATGATTGCTAATTAGTTATCTAAATACTTATTTAAAAATAAACTTAATGATTGCTAATTACTCAGTTATTTATAATGCATTTCAAAATTAACTTTATTGTCTAAACCTCTTAACACAAATGTATTAAATTATGTAACAGAGAATTGGCTATTTTTGTTCAAATATCTATTCTTGTCAGACTTAAAATATCACTCAGCTATATGATTAAAAATGAACTACAGTCATTAAATTATTTCCCACTTATTTGTGGCATTTCTCCATATTAGAGGAGACAAACAGTGCTCTTTGAATCTTTTTTTTTTTTTTTTTTTTTTTTTTTGAGACGGAGTCTCGCTCTGTCGCCCAGGCCGGACTGCGGACTGCAGTGGCGCAATCTCGGCTCACTGCAAGCTCCGCTTCCCGGGTTCACGCCATTCTCCTGCCTCAGCCTCTCGAGTAGCTGGGACTACAGGCGCCCGCCACCGCGCCCGGCTAATTTTTTGTATTTTTAGTAGAGACGGGGTTTCACCTTGTTAGACAGGATGGTCTCGATCTCCTGACCTCATGATTCACCCGCCTCGGCCTCCCAAAGTGCTGGGATTACAGGCGTGAGCCACCGCGCCCGGCCCAGTGCTCTTTGAATCGGATGACAGTTCTATTGATAACGGCCATCAGAATCTAGTTACGCATTATTAATTAGGTCAAGGCATGAATAAAATTTCTCCCTTGTTTCCACTCAAAAACTACAAGTATAGTTCCTTGGTAAGATGCTCCAACCATGGCTGGGTGCGGTGGCTCAAGCTTGTAATCCCAGCACTTTGGGAGGCTGAGGCGGGCAGATCACGAAGTCAGGAGATTGAGACTATCCTGGCTAACACGGTGAAATTCTGTCTCTACTAAAAAATACAAACAATTAGCTGGGCATGGTGGTGTGCACATGTAGTGCCAGCTACTCGGGAGGCTGAGGCAGGAGAATGGTGAGAACCTGGGAGGTGGAGCTTGCAGTCAGCCGAGATCACGCCACTGCACTCCAGCCTGGGCAACACAGTGAGACTCCGTCTCAAAATAAATAAATAAAATAAAATAAAAAATAAAATAAAAAAAAGATGTTCCAACCATGATTGGTGATGCCAATCATAGAAGAAAAGAGAATATTGAGAAATAATAAGACAGCTACTTTAAACCATTCTGTGCCTGAACATTTTGATGGCAATATTGGTCATATTATAAATTTGAAAATATAAATGGTAATCTAAATTGACTTTAGTCTACCAGTGATTATGAGAGCTTTATCTAAGTGAAACACTTGCATTTTTATTTCTAACATTTTTCAGAAAATGTGAAACTCCGACCAAGTGCAGTGGCTCATGCCTGTAATCCCAGCTCGTTGGGAGGCCGAGGCAGGTGGATCACAAGGTCAAGAGATCGAGACCATCCTGTCCAATCTGGTGAAACCCCGTCTCTACTAAAAATACAAAAATTAGCTGGGCGTGGTGATGCGCACATGTAGTCCCAGCTACTCGGGAGGCTGAGGCAGGAGAATCGCTTGAACCCGGGAGGTGAAGGTTGCAGTGAGCCAAGATCGTGCCACTGCACTCCAGCCTGGGCAACAGAGCAAGACTCCATCTCAAAAAAAAAAAAAAAAAAAAGAAGAAAAAGAAAATGTGAAGCTCCTTATTATTTTGTTTTAATTTTAAGAATTCCACTTCCTAGATAAGCAGAACATAGAGCCAAGTGCTATGTTCTGGTTGTTTTTAATGAGTATATTTATGTTCTCCCCAATTTATTATTTATTAATGTCTAACTTCAATTAGATGAGTTGATTACTTTTCATACACCATTGACTAAAGGAAACCTAATTTTACACGTAATTCAAGGGGATCTGTAAGTAAGAACATTTTAAAATTAAACCAACACATGTGCATTGAAAATCATTCAAACAGTTTGATGGGCAAAAAACCAGTGAAAACCAGAAACTTTTTTTTTTCCTTCCATAGACCTTGGTCCTGTTTTTCAGAGTTAGACAAGGTTTATCATTTTCTTTTTTTACTATATGCTATTCTCTTGAACTGTAAATAATATTATACAATCACCTAATTTTGTTTTAACAATTTTAAGTAATATCTCTTGACTTTTTATGAACGGTAGAGAATATAGCTCATTTACCCTACTTTCTTCTTCTAAAACTATATTTCCAATTTAGTCTTTAATATATAATTTTATGGGATTTTTTAAAAATTTGCTTTCTCTAAATAATATACTTACAGTGCTTAATTCTTTGCTTAAATAATATACTGTTTAGATAATATATGGTCCATCCAATTTGAACACCACTGATTGGCTCAGTAGGATGTGGAGATTAGTGTACAACTTCCCTCCCCTCCAACAGTCCCTGTCATAGCTTTCGACTTGTATCAAATTTCGTTCTATGCTTATATTTTCACATTTTATGTAAATTACATCCTATTTTGTAATTATAATAAAGTCTGTGCTTTGTTCGTAGGTTAATTTTGATCATGGAATCTCAAGTGAATTGACAGCATCATTATTATGTTTTCTTTTTTTTTCAAACCACAGTCGCAGGTGGCGTGATTTGATTTGTGTGAAGGCAATGAAATGATACACAGATACACCGAAGCCTCCCAAAAGAATCCTGGTTCCAAGACTCAAGAAGATGGATTAATGTTTTTCCATTAATTGTTGGAATTTATGCCATTTTTTACTATGTGCCATCAATTTTAAAGCACTTCTGAAAAGACATAACAATCTAAATGAGATGGCATTTTAAATTCATAAAAATATAGTATTTTCCTCAACTTTTATACATTTATGATGCATTATTTCTTATTTCCCGGGAATTTTACTACCTTTGTTTTGAATGATTAAAAAGGAAACACAGCACTTTTTTCAGCACATCACCAAGATAGCCTAGTTAATATTCTTCTCTTTCTGAAGTAGTTGAATTGGGATAGACAGCTTGCCAGGCCTGCTGCCACGTGTCAGCATCGCATCCCTACATTCAGCCACACTTGCATCTAACGACCATCTCTTTCATTAAATTTCTTTTGCACCTTTTCTTCCTGAATGAGTGCATGATACTTAATTTTCCTGTGCACTTGCATGTCTCAAGAAGGTTTTAATTCTTTTTGTATTGCATTAATATTAAGTTAAGTTTATAATTGCAAAATGATTTATACTCAGAACATTGAAGACTCCTTTGTTTTGTTACATCCTGTCAAAATGATGAGAAGACAGATCATCCTTTAGGGAAAAATTGGTTTTGATTGGTGTCAGCCTTTCCAACAGCAATGCTGGAGACAAGAATAAAATGAAGTAATATTTTTCAAGGATTAAAAGGAAACCAATTTTAATCCTTGAATTATTTGCAGCCACAATCTTTTAAATATGAAAGCCCAGAAAAAGACATTAAAAAGTAAGGCCTCAAAAGTTTTATTTCAAATAAATCCCTTTGAAAATGCTTAGAGGTCATACTCCACTAAGAAGAGAAATACACCGTGGTGTTAGAATTGAGGGTTCCAGAATCAATGGTAGTGGTGTTTATCATACTCTAAAAAATAAATGAAAACATAACATATTGAAAACAACCCCAAGTAAACTTCAGAAAGCACCCCCTTAGACAAAGTGCTGTCGTAACAGAGAAAGCAAACCAGAGGTGGCAAGAGGAAGCTAGAGCACTTATCTTGTTTGCTGAGATGATATTAATTTTGACACATATCAGAAATTGAGAAAATTAACATAAATAATGATATAACCACCATTACAATGTTAAAAATTTCCAGATTTCAAACAAATAGAAAAAGATTTGATCTATAGAGTGAAAGGTACAATAGGAAAAAATAAACAGTAAAGAAAGTATGAAAAATCATAAAATGAGATGACAGAAATAACTCATAATGGAACAATAATTACATAAATCAAAGGTTAAGATTGTCAGGTAAAATTTTTAAGTGTCAAAAAAACACTCAATAAAACTTATCGAAAATAAATTAGTGTAAAAAATATAGCAGGAAAATATGAATAAAAAGAGCTAGGTCCAATTTTTGATAAAAATTTGAATTCAAGTTAATAATATCCTAAAGAAGGAAAAAATCTGTAGACCAATAGAGAGAAAGGAAAGGCGCATTCAGACAAAGAAAATGTGTACAGAACACACTAGGGATATCAGAAGAGGCTGCTCATGGCCAGGCATGGTGGCTCATACCTGCAATCCCAGCACTATGGGAGGCCAAGGTGGGTGGATCACCTGAGCTCAGGAGTTCAGGACCAGCCTGGGCAGCAAGGGAAACCCCATCTCTACCAAAAATACAAAAAAATTCGCTAGCCATAGTGGCACATGCCTGTGGTTCCCGTTACATGGGAGGCTGAGGTGAGAGGATTGCTTGAGCCCGGGAGGCGGAGGTTACAGAGAGCCCAGATTTTGCCACTGCACTCCAGCCTGGGCAAGAATGTGAGACCCAGTCTCAAAGCAAAACAAAACAAAATAAAAAAGAAGCTGCTCAAGACCAGACTGAGCTCCTAGACCTTGAACTCCAGTCCCACCTCACACCCTAAGGTTCCTAAAGAATCAGTAACTTAGTTCACCCTACCCCACTCCTGACTTCTGGATGTAGCACAAGTTTCTAAACTTATGCAAACAGTGAGGACTATCTATTTTGACAAAATAAGAAATGGAGTCAAGGCAACATGTAAAAGATATTTTTGCCAGTTTTATTGATTAACAAAGAAAAATTGTATATAGTTAAGGTATGCAGTGTGATATTTTGATATACATATACATTGTGAAGTGATGATTACCACAATCAAGCTAACATATTCATCACCTCACCTGGTTACCTTTTTATTTGTGTTTGTGTGGTGGAGAACACTTGAGATCTACTCTTTCAGCAAATTTCAAGTATACATTATTATTGACTTTAGTCACTATGCTGTACATTAGATCTCCAGAACTTATTCATCTTATAACTGAAAGTTTGTACTTTCTGACAAACATTTTTTCTTTTCCCCCAACTCCCAGGCCCTAGTAAGCACTATTTTACTCTGTTACCATGAGTTTGACATTTTCTTAGTATGCATATAAGTGAAATCATGCAGGATTTTTTTGCATCTGTTCCTGGCTTATTTTACTTACCATAATAAACTCCAGGTTTATCCATCTTGTTACAAATGGCAGTATTTCCTCATTTTTAAAGGCTAAATGATATTCCATTACATATTTGTGTGTGTCTGTGTGTGTGTGTGTGTGTGTAATACATTTAAAACATCCATTCATCTGTCAATGGACACAGGTAGTTTCCATACCTTGGCTGTGTAAATAACACTGTAATAAACATGTAAGTATATATATCTCTCTGAGATAGTGATTTTCTTTACTTTGGATATATACCCAGATGTGAGATTGCTGGATTATATGGGAGTTCCATTTTTAATTTTTTGAGGAAACTCCATACTGTTGTCTGTAATGGCTGTACCAATTTACATTCCCATCAACTATCAACTAAGCACAAGGGTTTCTGTTTCTCAATATCCTCAGCAACATTTGTTACCTTTTTACTGTTATAAAAGCCATCCTAATAGATGTGAGGTGATATCTCATTGTGCATTTTCCTGATGATTAGTGATGGCAAACATCTTTTTCTTAATACATACCTATTGTCAATCGTATGTCCTTTAGAAATGTATCTCTTCAGGTCTGATATGCTTTGGCTGCGTCCCCACCCAAATCGCATGTTGAATTGTAGCTCCCATAATTCCCATGTGTTATGGGAGGGACCCAGTAGGAGATAGTTGAATCATGGGAGCGGTTTTCCCCATACTGTTTTTGTGGTAGTAAATAAGCCTCACAAGATCCGATTGTTTTATAAGGGATTTCCTTTTTCACTTGGCTTTCATTCTGTCTTGCCTGCTGCTGTGTAATATGTGCCTTTAGCCTCCCACCATAAGTAAGGCCTCCCCAGCCTCATGGAGCTGTGAGTCCATTAAACCTCTTTTTCTTTATAAATCACACAGTCTTTGGTATGCCTTTATCAGCAGCATGCAAACAGATGAATACAGTAAATTGGTACTGGTAGAGTGGGGTGCTGCTGTAAAGTTATCCAAAAATGTGGAACCAACTTCGGAACTGGGTAACAGGCAGGGGTTGGAACAGTTTGGAGGGCTCAGAAAAAGACAGAAAAATGTGAAAAAGTTTGGAACTCCCTAGAGATTTGTTGACTAGCTTTGACCAAAATGCTAATAATGATATGGACAATGAAATTCAGGCTGAGGTTGTCTCAGATAGTGATGAGGAACTTGTTGGGAACTGGAGTCAAGGAAAATCTTGCTATGCTTTAGCAAAGAGACTGGCAGCATTTTGCCCCTGCCCTGGAGATGTGTGGAACTTTGAACTTGAGGGAGATGATTTAGGGTAGCTGGCAGAATAAGTTTCTAAGCAGCAAAGCACTCAAGAGGTGACTTGGGTGCTGTTAAAAGCATTCAGTTTTAAAAGGAAACAGCATAAAACTTTGGAAAATTTGCAGCCAAACAATGTGATAGAAAAGAAAAACCAATTTTCTGAGGAGAAATTCAAGCCAGCTGCAGAAATTTGCATAAGCAACAAGGACCCAAATGTTCATCACCAAGACAATGGGGAAAATATCTCCAGGACATGTCAGAGACCTTTGCAGCAGTCCCTCCCATTACAGGCCAAGAGGCCTAAAAGGAAAAAATGGTTTCCTGGGCTGGATTCAGGGGCCCCCTGCTGTTTGCCACCTAGTGACTTGATACCCTGCATCCCAGCTACTCTAGCCATGGCTAAAAGGGTCCAAGGTACAGCTTGGACTGTGGATTCAGGTGGTGCAAGCCCCAAACCTTGGCAGTTTCACATGGTGTTGCGCCTGTGGGTGCACAGAAGTCAAGAATTGAGGTTTGGGAATCTCTGCCTAGATTTCAGAGGATGTATGGAAACTCCTAGATGTCCAGAAAGAATTTTGCTGCAAGGGTGGTGCCCTAATGGAAAACCTCTGCTAGGACAGTGCAGAAGGGAAATATGGGGTTGAAGCCCCCACACAGAGTCCCCACTGAGGTACTGCCTACTGGAGCTGTGAGAAGAAGGCCACTGTCCTCCGGACCCCAGAAAGGTACAGCCACCAAAAGCTTGATCATGCACACAGGAAGGCTACAGACAATGCCAGTCCATGAAAGCAACCAAGAGGGGGGCTATTTCCTGCAAAGCCACAGGGGTGGAGCTGCCCAAGGCCATGGGAGCCCACCTCTTGCATAAGTGTGACCTGGATGTGAGACATGGAGTCAAAGGAGTTCACTTTGGAGCTTTAAGATTTGACAGGCCTGCTGGATTTTGGACTTGGGGCCTGTAGCCTCTTTGTTTTGGCCAAATTCACCCATTTGGAACAGGTATGTTTACCTGCTCCCTGTACCTCCATTGTATTTGGAAAGTAACTAACTTGCTTTTAACTTTATGAGTTCATAGCTCGAAGGGACTTGCCTTGTCTCAGATAAGACTTTGGACTGTGGACTTTTGAGTTAATATTGAAATTAGTTAAGATGTTGAGGGACTGTTGGGAAGGCATAATTTGTTTTCAAATGTGAAGACATGAAATTTGGGAGGAGCTGGGGCAGAATGATATGATTCAGCTGTGTCCCTACTCCAATCTCCTCTTGAATTGTAGTTCCCATAATTCCCACATGTTGTGGGAGGGACCTGGTGGAAGACAATTGAATCATGGGGGCAGTTTCTCCCATACTGTTCCCATGGTAGTAAATAAGTCTCATGAGATCTGATTGCTTTATAACGGGTTTCCCCTTTTGCTTGGCTTTCATCCTGTCTTGCTGGCTGTCATGTAAGACATGCCTTTCACCTTCCACTGTGATTATGAGGCCTCCCCAGCTACGTGGAACTGTGAATCCATTAAACCTCTTTTTTTTGGAGATGGAGTCTGGCTCTGTCACCCAGGCTGGAGTGCAGTGGTGTGATCTCTGCTCATTGCAAGCTCCACCTCCAAGGTTCACGCCATTCTTCTGCCTCAGCCTCCCAAGTCGCTGGGACTACAGGCACCCACCACCACACCTGGCTAATTTTTTGTATTTTTAATACAGACAGGATTTCACCATGTTAGCCAGGATGATCTCAATCTCCTGACCTCATGATCTGCCTGCCTCGGCCTCCCAAAGTGCTGGGATTACAGGCATGAGCCACCGTGTCTGGCCAAACCTTTTTCTTTATAAATTACCCAGTCTCTGGTATGTCTTTGTCAGCATCATGAAAACAGACCAATACAAGATCCTTTGGAATTGTCTGAGTTCCTAATTTATTTGGATATTAACTTCTTATCAGATGTATAGTGTGTAAATATTTTCTCCCATTCTTTAGGTTATCTTTTCATTGTATTGGTTGTCTCCTTTGCTGCGCTGAAGCTTTTAGTTTGATTTACTCCCATTTGTCTAGTTTTGCTTTTGTTGTCTATACTTTTGGTATCAAATCTGAAAATTTATTACCAATACCAGTATCAAGGAGCTTTTCTCCGATATTTATATCTAAGAGTCTTACAATATTGGTCCTTTGTTGAGGTCTTTCATCCATTTTGAGACAATTTTTGTATGTACAGTGAGATAAGGGTTCAGTTTCATTCTTCTGCATGTGGATATCCAGTTTTCCCAACACCATTTAATAAAGAGACTAAATTTTATCATTGTGTACTCTTGGCACCAATGCTAGAGATCAATTGATTGTAAAGTCATGGATTTATTTCTTTCTATGATCTCTATTCTGTTCCCTTGGCCTACATGTCTGTTTTTATGCTAGTAGCATACTATTTTGATTACTACAGCTTTATAATTTAGTTTGGAATAAGGTAATGTGATGCTTCCACTTTTGTTTTTTCTGCTGAAGGATGTTTTGACTGTTTGGGGTCATTTGAGGTTGCATAAAAATTTTAGAACTGCTTTTTTCCATTTCTTTGAAAAATGCCATTGAAATTTTGATGGGGTTGCTTTATATCTATAGATCGCGCTGAGTAATAGGGATATGTATCTTCTTCAAATTCTTTCATCAGTGTTTTATAGTTTTTGGTATATACAAATTTTACTGTCTTATTTAAATTTCTTCCTAAGTAGTTAATTTTTTGATGCTATTGTAAATGAGATTGTGTTCTTTCAGACGGACTCTCACTCTGTTGCCCAGGCTGGAGTGCAGTGGTGTGATCTTGGCTCACTGCAAGCTCTGACTCCCGGGTTCACACCAATCTCCTGCCTCAGCCTCCTGCCACCACGCCCAGCTAATTTTTTGTATTTTTAGTAGAGACAGGGTTTCTCCATGTTAGCCAAGATGGTCTCGATCTCTTGACCTTGTGATCTGCCCACCTCAGACTCCCAAAGTGCTGGGATTACAGGCGTGAGCCACTGTGCCCGGCCCGAGATTGTTTTGTTAATTTCTTTCTGGGATACTCAACTATTAGTATATAAAAACGTAACAGGTTTTTTTTTAATGTTAATTATGTGTTCTGCAAATTTGCTTGTTTCTTAATTTTAACAGTTTTTAATTGGAGCCTTTAGAATTTTCTCTATATGAGATCATGTCATCTTCAAATAGAGACACTTTCACTTCTTTTCCAGTTTGGATGCCTTTTATTTCTTTTTCTTACTTAATTGCTCTGGCTAGGACTTACAGACTTTTTCAGAAACCCCCCAAAATAATCTAAGGGAGTCCATTGTCACTAGACCTGCTTTATAAGAAATTCTAAAGGGAGTTCTTCAAACTGAAATGCAATAAGACTAATTAGCATCACGAAAACATATGTAGTTATAAAAAGTCACCAGTAAAAGTAACTATACAGTCAAATTCAAAATATTCCTAATACTGTAATGATGGAGTATAATCACTTTAACTTTTAAAAGGTTAAAAGACAAAAAATATTACAAATAAATATAACTACAAAATAAACAAAGAAATAAACGCTGACATCAAAAAAACATAAAAAGTGGAGGGGAGTAAAGTGTAGGGTTTTGTATATGCTTGAAGTTAAGTTGTTATCAACTTAAAATAGACCATTATAACTATAATCATACATTTCTTAATGTGGATATGTTCTGAATAATGCCTCATTATGCAATTTTGTCATGGTGTGAATATCATAGAGTATACTTACACGAAATTAGATAATACCACCTACTACACACCCAGGCTATATGGTATAACCTATTGCTTCCAGGCTACAAATCTGTACAGCATTGTACTATACTGAATGCTATAGGCAATTATAATACAATGATAAGCATTTGTGTATCCAAATGTATCTAAACATATAAAAGATACAATAAAAATGTTATAACCTTACAGGGCCACCGTTGTATATGTGGCCCATCATTGACCAAAACATCCTTATGTGGCACATGAGAGCATATGATGTTTTATGGAAGCCTCAGGATAATCACAAAGACAAAACATGTAATAGTTACACAAATGAAAATTTTACCACATGTTTAAAAAAGAATTAATACAAAGACACAGAAAAGAATCAAAGTATACCACTACAGAAAATAATCAAAATAATCAAATCATGCACAGCAAGAGAGAAATAAAAGAACAAAGAAACTGCAAAATGCCTATCAATAGTTACTTTAAATATCAGTGGACCAAATTAGAAAAGACACAGAGTGGCTGAATGGACAGTAAAACAATAACCAAATATATGCCGCCTATAAGAGATTCACTTCACCTTTAGAGACACACATAGACTGAAAGGAAAGACAGGGAACAAAAAAAAGAAAGAGTAGCTATTCTTACAACAAACAAAATAGACTTTAAGTCAAAAACTGTAACAAGAGGGAAAGAAAGTCATTATAGAATGATACAAGGGTCAATTCATCAAGAGGATATAATTACTACAAATATATATTCTCCCAACATTGGAACACCTAATTGTATAAAGCAAATATTAACAAATCTGAAGAGAGAAGTGACAACAATAATACAATAACAGTTGGGGACTTCCATATCCCACTTTCAACAATGGATTGATCACTCAGACAGATAATCAATAAGGAAACAGATGACTTGAACTACACTATAGATCAAATGGACCAGACATATACGGGACATTACTTTCCAAAACAGCAAAATACACATTCTTCTTGAGCATACACAGTACATTCTCCTACACAGGTCATATATTGGGCCAGAAAACAAGTCTTAGCAAATTTAAGAAGATTGAAATCTTATCAAGTATTCTTTTTGACCACAGTGGCATGAAACTGAAAATTAAAAACAGGAGAAAACTTAGAAAAGTGACAAATATGTGGAAATCAACCAACACACTCCTGAGCAACCAATAGATCAAAGAAAACATCAAAAAAGAAATAAAATATCTTGAGACAAACTAAAATGAAAGCACAACATACTAAAACTTATGAGATGAAGCAAAAGCAATTCTAACAGGGAAGTTTATACAGGTTAAGTGCTAAATGAAGAAAAAAGATCTCAAATAAACAATAAACCTCAAAGAAATAGAAAAGAAAAAAAATGAAGCCCAAAATTAGAAGAAGGAAGGAAATAACAAAGATGATAGCAGAAGTAAATGAAATACACTAGAAAAACAATAGAAAAGATCAATGAAACAAAAAGCTGATTTTTTGAAAACATAATGGCTGGGCGCGGTGGCTCATGCCTGTAATCCCAGCACTTTGGGAGGCGGGCAGATCACGAGGTCAGAGATCAAGACCATCCTGGCTAACATGGTGAAACCCCGCCTCTACTAAATATACAAAAAATTAGCAGAGCCGGGCAGCGTGCGCCTGTAGTCCCAGCTACTTGGGAGGCTGAGGCAGGGGAATGGCATGAACCCAGGAGGCAGAGCTTGCAGTGAGCGGAGATTGCGCCACTGCACTACAGCCTGGGAGACAGAGCCAGACTGAGTCTCAAAAAAATAAAATAAAATAAAATAAAAATAATAAAAATTGACCAACCTTTCACTAGGCTAAGAAAAAAGAGAGAAGCCTCAAATAAATAAAATTAGAACAAAAAAGCAGATATTAAAATTGGTACCATAGAAATACAAAGGATAATAACAGTCTAAACAACTATGTGTCAACAAATTGTTTAACTTAGAAGAAATAGAGAAATTTCTAGAAACATACATCCCCTAAGATTGAAACATGAAGAAATAGAAAATCAACACAAATAATGAGTAAAAATATTGAGTCAGTGGTCAAAAAGCTCCTGAAAAAGGAAAATCCAAGACCAGATAGCTTAGTGGAGAAGTCTAGCAAATGTTTAAAGAAGAATTAGTACCATTTCTTCACAAACTCTTCCAAAAGTTGAAGAGGAGGGAATACAAACATTTTTTATGAGGCCAGCATTACCCTGATAACAAAGACAGAAAAGATACTACAAGGTTGACAGATATTTTTAAGGTGTAAATGATGTATTGTTGGAATTGAAAATACAGGATTTGTTTGTACAAAGATTTGTGTGTGGATAGGTGGATGCGTACTGGTGTGTGCATGCATACATATACAAGCTTACCTTGTTTTATTGCACTTCACTTTATTATGCTTCTCGGATATTGCATTTTTTACAGGTTGAAGGTTTATGGCAACCCTGCATCAAGCAAGTCTACCAGTGCCACTTTTCTGGTAGCATGTGCTTATTTTGTATCTCTGTGTTACATTTTTGTAATTCTTGCAATATTTCAAATGTTTTGTTATTATTATATCTGTTATGGTAATCTGTGATCAGTGATCATTGATATTACTATTGTCATTGTTTTGGGGCATCACAAACCATGTTCCAAAAGACAATGAGCCTAATTGATACATATGTGTGTCTGAATGGTTCCATCGATCTGCCCTTCCTCCATCCCCCCAACTCCTCAGGTCTCCCTGTTTTCTGAGACACAGGAATATTGAAATTAGGCCAATTAATAACTCTACAAAGGCCTCTATGTGTTCAAGTGAAAGTAAGAGTCACACATCTCTTATTTAAATCAAAAGTGAGAAATGATTAAGGTGAGTGAGGAAGGCATGTTAAAAGCTGAAACAGGCCAAAAACTAGGCATCCTGCACCTAACAGCCAAACTGTGCATGAAAAGAAAAAGTTCTTGAAGAAAATTAAAAGTATTACTCCAATGAACACATGAGTGGTATGAAAGTGAAAGAGACTTATCGCTGATATGGAGAAGGTTTGAGTGGTTTGGATAGAAGATCAAACCAACCACAACATTTCCTTAAGCCAAACCCTAATCAAGAGCAAGGACCTAATTCTTCTTAATTCTCTGAAGGCTGAGAGAGGTTGGGAAGCCACAGAAAAAAAGTTTGAAGCTAGCAGAGATTGGTTCATGAGGTTTAAGGAAAGAAGTCTTCTCCATAAGATAAAAGTGCAAGGAAAAGCAGCAAGTGCTGATGTAGAAGCTGCAGCAAGTCATCCATAAGATCAGCTAAGAGAAGCAACAAAGGTGGCTACACTAAACAAAGGTTTTTACTGCAGATAAAACAGCCTTATATTGGAAGAGGATGTCATCCAGGACTTTTACAGCCAGGTAGCAAAATAAATGCCTGACTTCAATGCTTCAAAGAACAGGATGACTCTTTTGTTAGGGGCTTAAGCTGAAGCCAAAGCTCATCTACCATTCTGAAAATTCTAGGGCCCTTAAGAACTATGCTACATCTACTCTGCCTGTGCTCTATAAATGGGACAAAGCCTGAATGACATCACATCTGTTACGACATGAATATTTTAAGCTCACACCTGAGAACTACTGCTTTAAAAAAAGATCTCTTTCAAAATATTATTGTTCATTGACAATTTACCTGGTCACCCAAGAGCTCTGATGGAGAACTACAAGAAAATTAAAGCTGTTTGCATGCCTGCTAATACAACATCCATTCTGCAGCCCAGGGATCAATGAGTAATTTAGACTTTCAAGGCTGATTATCTGAGAAATACATTTCATAAGGCTGTAGCCACCATGTATAGTAGTTCCTTCGATAGATCTGGGCAAAGTAAGTTGAAAACCTTCTAGAAAGGTTTCACCATTCTAGAAGCATTTGCAATTCATGGGAGGAGGTTAAAATTAAGAACATTTGTGATTCATGGGAGGAGGTTAAAATATCAATATTAAAAGAAATTTGGAAGAAGTTGATTCCAATCCTCATGGATGACTTTGAGGGTTCAAGACTTCAGTGCAAGAAGTAACTGCAGACGTGGTGGAAATGGCAAGAGAACTAAGATTAAAAGATGTGAAGAGAACTTAAGATGTGGCTGAATTGCTGAAATCTCATGACAAAATTTTAACAAATGAGAACTTGGATGAGCAAAGAAAGTGGTTTCTTGAGATGGAAACTACTCCAGGTGTAGATGCTGTGAACCTTGTTGAAATGACAACAGAGTATTTAGAAAATTGCATAAACTTAGTGGATAAAGCAGTGGCAGGGTTTGAGAGGATTGTCTCCGATTTGAAGGAAGCTCTACTGTGGGTAAAATGCTGTCAAACAGCATTGCATGCTACAGAGGAATCTTGAAAGAAATAGTCAACTGATGTAGCAAACTTCATTGTTGTCTTATTTTAAGAAATTGCCACAGCCACCTCACCTCCAGCAGCTTCCACCATGATGAGTCAGCAGCCACAACACTGAGGCAAGGCCACTGACCAGCAAAAAGATCATGATGTTGAAGACTCAGGTGATCGATAGCATTTTTAAACAGTAAAATAATTTTTGACTAAGGTATGTACATTGACTTTTTTATACATAATGGTATTGCCCACTTAATAGACTACAGTATAGTATAGACCTAACTTTTATATGCACTGAGAAACCAAAAATTCTGTGTGATTTGCCTTATTGCCATATTTGTTTTATTGCAGAACTGGCCACCAGAATCTTCCCTTCCCCTAGAACGCCCTTCACCCAAGCCACCTGCATTTTCCCCTCACCCATCATACCCACCCCCATTGTCTGGCCTGCCCTCCACCTCCTCCAAAAGCCTTCATTGCTCCCCCACTGCTGGACTGCATTCTGACTCCGTCTCAATGTGACTCAATGGCACTTCCATTGGGCACTGCCCTAAAGAGCTCATCTCCACAGTGGCCTGAAACCAAACCCACAGTATCTCTGAGGTATGCCTATGTAGCAGTCCCATAAGTTATCGTGCACTTTAAGCATTACCAAGTCCAGAACTGTAAATGCTACACATTTACAGAAATACCACTTGAAGGTTTAACTACTTATAACTGTTTCATAATTAGAATTACAAATTTTGAATATTAATTATTTTAATTGGGGGGAGGGGCCAAGATGGTTGAGTAGAAACAGCTCTACTCTGCAGCCCCCACTGAGACAAACATAAACAGCGAGTGAATTCTGCATTTCTAACTGAGGTATCCAGATTCCCTCATTGGGACTGACTAGGCAGTTGGTGTGACCCATGGAGAGCAAGGAAAAGCAGAGTTGGGCGACAGTTCACCCAAGAGCTACACAGGGCAAAGAGACCTCCCTCCTCCAGCCAAGGGAGGCAGTGAGGGATTGTGCTACCCACCCGGAGAACTGTGCTTTACCCACAGATTTTTGCAAACCCCAGAACAGGTAATCCCTTTGTGAGTCCACACCACCAGGGCCTTGGGTCCCAAGCACAAAGCTGTGCAGACCCATAGCAGGGGCTCCAGCTGGCAGCCACTTGGGCAGGTACTGAGCTGTAGGAGTTTCTGCGTACTCTGGTGGCTCGCAGTAATCCAGTGAAGCAGGAGATCCATCAACTCCCATGAGAAGAGGGCTGAAGCCAGGGAGCCAAGCAGACCCACTCCCACAGAACCCCACAAGCTAAGACCCACTGGCATGGAATCCCCACTGGCTAGCACAGCACTTGGAGTCTGCCTAAGAAGACCAAGTTCCTGGGGGGAAGGGTGACCACCATTACTGCGGGTCTAGCCGGTGGTTTTCCCCCACCAGTGCTAGGGAGACTGGGTGGTTTGCGCTGGGCAGAATTCCCCACAGTGCAGTACAGAGGCTGTGGCAGATATACCATTATTGCATATCCAAAGGAATATAAATCATTCTATTACAAAGATACATGCACGTGTATGTTTATTGCAGCACTGTTCCCAATAGCAAAGACATGGAATCAACCCAATGCCCACCAATGATAGACTGGATAAATAAAATGTGGTACATATACACCATGGAATACTATGCAGCCATAAAAAGGAATGAGATCAAGTCCTTTGCGGGGACATGGATGAAGCTGGAAGCCATTATCCTCAGCAAACTAACACAGGAACAGAAAACCAAATACCACATGTTCTCACTTACAAGTGGGAGCCGAACAATGAGAACATATGGACACTGGGAGGGAAACAACACACCCTGGCACCTGTCGAGGGAGGGCCGGTGGTAGGGAGAGCATCAGGAAAAATAGCTAATGCATGCTGGGTTTAATACCTAAGTGATGGGTTGATAGGTGCAGCAAATCACCATGGTACATATTTGCCTATGTAAGAAAACTGCATGTCCTGCACATGTATCCCGAAAGTTAAAATAAAATAAATACATAAGTACATAAATAAAATTTTAAAAGACAAAAAAAAAAATCTTAATTGTATGTGGGTAGTTCCCTTTGATTGAAAGTGAGATAGAAATAATTTTTTAAAACTTACTATTCAAAATTTGCAAAACTAAATAAGAGTAAAAGAAATTTACATTTTGTCCCTGGATTGATACAAGACAAAAACATAGTGTGGAAAAGCTGGAGTTGAGGATGAACGAGATTCTGAGAATAAAAATCCCTGGTACATAGCCAAAATTTCAGAACTTCAGATTTTCAAGGGCTATAAAATAGGTAACCTCAAGCCACCGTCTCCAACAGATAAAAGGAACCAGGTAATATCTATATTCCAGGGAGAAAGAATAGAAAATTGGCTATCACTGACAAAACTTAGTGGGAAGGAGGGATCTAGAAGGTGGGATGGTGGAGGGATCCCCAGCTTGGGGGGTAGGGAGGGGCTGTGCTTCAGTCTCCCCCTCCCCTGCCCCTCTCCCTCCCTCTCCCCCTCCTGCTGCACCTCCCCCTCCCTCTGCGCCTCCCCCTCCCACTGCCCCTCCCCAACAAAGGAGCCCTTTGTGACATCAAGGCCCCACCTCTGTGACGCAGGCCTGGGCCCCAGTCCCTAGTCCCCACGGGGATGCCCAGAGCTCAGTTGCTTGAAAGCAACGCGCCTATTCACATGGAGAATCTTCCCTTTCCTTTAAAATTACTTAGTGCCTCATCGCTAAACGCCCCCAGTTCCACACCATGGGTGTTGGATATCTTCCTCACTTTGGTGTTTGCCCTGGGGTTCTTCTTCCTATTACTCCCCTACTTATCTTACTTCCGTTGTGATGACCCACCCTCACCATCGCCTGGGAAGAGAAAGGTAAGGAACCCTCAGTCCCAACCCACAGAGCTTGATTCTCTCCTTTCTTTTTATTATTAGTTCCACTTTTCCAAATCCAGTGGAGAGCCTTCTATGATGGGAAGTCTCAGAAGAGACCAGAACATCATCCTTCCAGGGAGAGGCAGGGCAGCCAGGGGTTGGTAGGGGTAGATAGTGTACTGGGATTTCCATCCCAAGCTCTCAGTCCATCTGTGGGGGAGCACAGGAGGCATCAAGGCAAAATCAAACCAGTGGACTCAGCACCAGTACCAGTCATGAGACTGGGGAGGTCTCTGTCCGAGACCAGGCCCTGAGCCCTGGCTCATCAGCCCCTTTCTGGTGCAGGTGGCTCAGGGCCCAGCCTCCCCTGTGTGGGGTGATCTGGGGCCTGTGCTGGGCCCCTGAGGGCCTCCCACCAGGGCCTGGTGTCTCCTCTGGTCTCCTGGGAAGCAGAATCCTACCTGATAGCTCAGCAGTGCCTGCGGGCCTGAACTTGGGTGTTCCTGGAGCAGAGGAACAGGGACTGAAGGTGTCCGTGGTGGACCTCATATTGAAAATCCCTCTGTGTGTGTGTGTGTGTGTGTGTGTGTGTGTGTGTATTTTTATTTTATTTGTGTGTGTTATTTTTATTTTATTTTATTTTATTTTATTTTATTTTATTTTATTTTATTTTATTTTTTGAGATGGAGTCTCGCTCTGTGGTGCAGGTTGCAGTGAAATGGAGTGATATCGGCTCACTGCAACCTCTGCTTCCTGAGTTCAAGCGATTCTCCTGTCTTAGAGTCCTGAATAGCTGGGGATTACAGGCGCCCACCACCATGCCTGCCTAATTTTTGTATTTTTAGTAGACACGGGGTTTCACCATGGCCAGGCTGGTCTCAAACTCCTGACCTCAGGTGATCAACCCACCTTGGCCTCCCAAAGTGCTTGGATTATAGGCGTGAGCCACCACGCCCAGCCCCCTCTTGCTGTTTTTCTAAGAAGAAAAGCAGTTTATCATCCATTTAAACAAGAGTGGGAGGAAGCACACAGAGCTCCCTGAGCAAGACAGAGAGAGCCATGCGGTTCCTGAGTGCAGCATGCTGCGGCTGGGCTGGGGCAGAGAGGGAGAGCCGGTCCTAGCTTCTTACCCTTTCTTGTCTCCCATTGTCATCTTGTCTCTCCGCGTCATCTTGTCTCCGTACGTCATCGTGTCTCCCAGTGTCCAGTAGGGCGGAGGCGGAGGCCCAGAGGCAGGATGAAAAACCACAGTCTGAGAGGTAAGGCTCTGCCAGAGCACACTAGGGTTAATTTGATCTCATCTGTCCCGAAGGGAACTGACTCTGAAGAAGTCAGTTGAAGAAGCCTGAGGTGGGGGCTCCTAGGAAGGAAATCAGAACCCCGGGTCCTTCTCAGATTCCATGCGGGAATGAAGCCATGGTGGGCCAGGGACTGGGCGTTACCCAGCAGGGGGCAGTGTGTGTGTCCTGGGGAGACCAATGCCTGCCTGGATGCGGAGGGGGGTGAGGGGGCCTCCCGCTCCCTGGGAACAGCTGTCCAACTCTGCTAAGGCTGATTCCTCTTTGAGACCACCTCAGTCCTTTCTCCCCACAGGGCAGTTGTGAGGACTGTGGGGGTGGGGGGTCCGTGTGTGGAAGCCCTTTGTGAATGAAAAAGCCCTGTCCTCCATGCCTTGCTATTAACGTCGGGGTCATGTGGCTTTGGACACAGATGGGTGGGGTCCAGGGTCTAATTCCCCATGGTCCTCCCTAAAGAAACAGCCACTCAGCCTCCTGTGAGAACCCAGGCCCCTCCCTCACTGCCCTAACCCAGTCTCCTGATTTCCAGCTGGTAGAGAGTGCCGGAGAGGCCTGGAGGAGACTTCGGACCTGCTTTCACAACTGCAGAGGTGAGGCACTTCCCCTTCCCTGCATCCTTCCTACCAGGGCTGGGACGTGACCCCAGGGCCACAGGCAGCCTGGAGCTGACCTGGGATGGGGAGACCAGGGGTACAGAGGATGGGAGTAAAACCCTGGGGCGAGGGGTAGCAGGAGAATTGGGCAATCAGGGTGTGGGGTGGTGGAGGGGCTGTGGCCCGAGCACCCACTCTGCCCTCCGGCCCCACCGGCTCCTGGCTGCAGCTCGTGCCTCCTGTCTCCTGCAGCCTCCTGGGGCCACACCTTGACAAAGGTGACTTTGGTCAGCTCTCCGGTCCAGACCCCCCAGGTGAGGTGGGCGAAAGAGCACCTGATGGAGCCTCCCAGTCCTCTCATGAGCCTATGGAAGATGCTGCTCCCATTCTCTCCCTGTTAGCTTCCCCGGATCCTCAAGCCAAGCATCCTCAGGATCTGGCCTCCACCCCATCACCAGGCCCAATGACCACCTCAGTCTCCTCCCTAAGTGCCTCCCAGCCACCAGAACCTTCCCTTCCCCTAGAACACCCCTCACCCGAGCCACCTGCACTTTTCCCTCACCCACCACACACCCCTGATCCTCTGGCCTGCTCTCTGCCTCCTCCAAAAGGCTTCACTGCTCCTCCCCTGCGGGACTCCACACTGATAACTCCATCTCACTGTGACTCAGTGGCACTTCCACTGGGCACCGTCCCTCAAAGCTTGTCTCCACATGAGGATTTGGTGGCTTCTGTCCCAGCCATCTCAGGCCTTGGTGGCTCAAACAGTCATGTTTCTGCCTCCTCCCGGTGGCAGGAGACTGCCAGAACCTCGTGCGCCTTTAACTCATCAGTCCAGCAAGATCATCTTTCCCGCCACCCACCAGAGACCTGTCAGATGGAAGCTGGTAGCCTGTTTTTGCTCAGCTCTGATGGCCAGAATGTCGTGGGGATACAAGTCACAGAAACAGCCAAGGTCAACATTTGGGAAGAAAAAGAAAATGTTGGATCATTTACAAATCGAATGACCCCAGAAAAGCACTTAAATTCTTTGCGGAATTTGGCTAAATCATTGGATGCTGAGCAGGACACCACAAACCCAAAACCCTTCTGGAACATGGGAGAGAACTCGAAACAGCTGCCCGGACCTCAGAAGCTCTCAGATCCTAGGCTCTGGCAGGAAAGTTTTTGGAAGAATTATAGCCAGCTTTTCTGGGGCCTCCCCTCTCTGCACAGCGAGTCCCTGGTGGCTAACGCCTGGGTAACTGACAGGTCTTATACTTTACAGTCTCCTCCTTTCTTGTTCAATGAAATGTCCAATGTCTGCCCAATTCAAAGGGAGACTACAATGTCCCCACTGCTTTTCCAGGCCCAGCCCCTGTCCCATCTGGGGCCCGAGTGCCAACCCTTTATTTCATCCACACCCCAATTCCGGCCCACACCTATGGCTCAGGCCGAGGCTCAGGCCCATCTTCAATCTTCTTTCCCAGTCCTATCTCCTGCTTTTCCATCCCTGATTCAGAACACTGGAGTAGCTTGCCCTGCATCGCAGAATAAAGTGCAAGCTCTCTCCCTACCTGAAACTCAGCACCCTGAATGGCCTTTGTTGAGGAGACAACTAGAAGGTAGGTTGGCTTTACCCTCTAGGGTCCAAAAATCTCAGGACGTCTTTAGTGTCTCCACTCCTAACCTTCCCCAGGAAAGTTTGACATCCATTCTGCCTGAGAACTTTCCAGTCAGTCCTGAACTCCGGAGACAACTGGAGCAACACATAAAAAAGTGGATCATCCAACACTGGGGCAACCTGGGAAGGATCCAAGAGTCTCTGGATCTGATGCAGCTTCAGGACGAATCACCAGGGACAAGTCAGGCCAAGGGCAAACCCAGTCCCTGGCAGTCCTCCATGTCCACAGGTGAAAGCAGCAAGGAGGCACAGAAGGTGAAGTTCCAGCTAGAGAGGGACCCGTGCCCACATCTGGGGCAAATTCTGGGTGAGACCCCACAAAATCTATCCAGGGATATGAAAAGCTTCCCACGGAAGGTTCTGGGGGTGACTTCTGAGGAGTTGGAAAGGAACTTGAGGAAGCCCTTGAGGAGTGACTCGGGAAGTGATTTATTAAGATGCACAGAGAGGACTCATATAGAAAACATCCTGAAAGCCCACATGGGCAGGAACTTGGGCCAGACCAACGAGGGCTTGATCCCCGTGCGTGTGCGTCGATCCTGGCTTGCTGTCAACCAGGCTCTTCCCGTGTCCAACACCCATGTGAAAACCAGCAATCTAGCAGCCCCGAAAAGTGGGAAAGCCTGTGTGAACACAGCCCAGGTGCTTTCCTTCCTCGAGCCGTGTACTCAGCAGGGGTTGGGAGCCCATATTGTGAGGTTTTGGGCCAAACACAGGTGGGGTCTACCCCTCAGGGTCCTCAAGCCCATTCAGTGCTTTAAACTGGAAAAGGTTTCATCCTTGTCCCTTACACAGCTTGCTGGTCCCTCCTCAGCCACCTGTGAATCTGGGGCTGGCTCAGAAGTTGAGGTGGACATGTTCCTTAGAAAGCCACCAATGGCAAGTCTGAGAAAGCAGGTGCTGACCAAAGCATCTGATCACATGCCAGAGAGTCTTCTGGCCTCCTCACCTGCATGGAAGCAGTTCCAGAGGGCACCGCGAGGAATCCCATCTTGGAATGATCATGAACCCTTGAAGCCTCCTCCAGCTGGACAGGAGGGCAGGTGGCCATCTAAGCCCCTCACGTACAGCCTCACAGGCAGCACCCAGCAGAGCAGGAGCTTAGGAGCCCAATCTTCAAAGGCTGGAGAGACAAGGGAGGCAGTGCCACAATGCAGAGTCCCCTTGGAAACCTGTATGCTGGCAAACCTCCAAGCCACAAGTGAGGATGTGCATGGTTTCGAGGCTCCAGGGACCAGCAAAAGCTCTCTACACCCTAGAGTGTCTGTCTCCCAAGATCCAAGAAAGCTGTGTCTTATGGAGGAGGTTGTTAGTGAATTTGAGCCTGGAATGGCCACAAAGTCAGAGACCCAGCCTCAAGTTTGTGCCGCTGTTGTGCTCCTTCCAGATGGGCAAGCATCTGTTGTGCCCCACGCTTCAGAGAATTTGGTTTCTCAAGTGCCCCAGGGCCATCTCCAGAGCATGCCTACTGGGAACATGCGGGCTTCCCAGGAGCTACATGACCTCATGGCAGCCAGAAGGAGCAAACTGGTGCACGAGGAGCCCAGAAAACCAAACTGTCAAGGCTCATGCAAGAGCCAAAGGCCAATGTTTCCCCCTATTCACAAGAGTGAGAAGTTTAGGAAGCCCAACTTAGAAAAACATGAAGAAAGGCTTGAAGGATTGAGGACTCCTCAACTTACCCCAGTCAGGAAAACAGAAGACACCCATCAGGATGAAGGCGTCCAGCTACTGCCATCAAAGAAACAGCCTCCTTCAGTAAGCCCCTTTGGAGAAAACATCAAGCAAATTTTTCAGTGGATTTTTTCAAAGAAAAAAAGCAAGCCAGCACCAGTCACTGCTGAGAGCCAAAAAACAGTAAAAAACAGATCATGTGTGTACAGCAGCAGTGCTGAAGCTCAGGGTCTCATGACGGCAGTTGGACAAATGCTGGACGAGAAAATGTCACTTTGCCATGCGCGCCATGCCTCGAAGGTAAATCAGCACAAACAGAAGTTTCAAGCCCCAGTCTGTGGGTTTCCCTGCAACCACAGGCACCTCTTCTACTCAGAACACGGCAGAATACTGAGCTATGCAGCCAGCAGTCAACAAGCCACTCTCAAGAGCCAGGGTTGTCCCAACAGAGACAGACAAATCAGAAATCAACAGCCCTTGAAAAGTGTGCGGTGCAACAATGAGCAATGGGGCCTGCGACATCCCCAAATCTTGCACCCCAAGAAAGCTGTATCCCCAGTCAGTCCCCCTCAGCACTGGCCGAAGACATCCGGTGCCTCTAGCCACCATCACCACTGTCCAAGGCACTGTCTTCTTTGGGAAGGTATCTGATTTGGTCAGTCACAAATTCTTTTTTAGCCTTCCCTGGAGAAAAACAAGTCCCCAAGAAAAAATTCACTCTATGTAGAGAAAAAATATTTTCTCTCATGTTAGTACATGCAGAACATTTAATATTCCACAATATATATGGTTTTTTATTCATAAGAGGGTGATGGCTTTTATTTGTGCCATGCTTGGTGTGGGCTTGGTTTCCAGAAGCGACAGGACATGGAGGGATGTTGACAGTGGTGCTGTAAGCCCACCTTCATCCTGAGTTCCTTCACTGAACCTTATGTTTCCGTAATACCGTCTTTACACAAACAACAAAAAATTCTAAAAACAAGATGAGAAAAACCTATGAAGGTCCCACTCTGAAATAAGGTTCAACCCATCTTTCCACTACTTACTCTACCTCAAACTTCATGCAACTGTAGGGAGAAGGTTTGCAGAGATGTCACGGGACTGAACATCTCCATGCAGGCTCCAGGAAGTGCCACAGCCGAGTACCTTCATGTGTCACAAAATAGTGGAAGTTTGGGTGGGAGAGTGCTGGGCCCTGAGTTTAGAAGTGGGAGAAGTCTTGACCCTGGGTATCCTGGTGGAGAATAGATAACGTCTGCCCCTGGGAAGCCCCTTCTCTCCCTGACAAAGGCTGGGATGGAGATGGGCTCTCTTAGCTCAGCCAACATGCAAAGCAGAGAGTCCCCATCCCACTGCCTCTCCCTTTCTCGCACTCTGGAGTGGCAGTGGGGACAGACCTTCCAGCTCTGTGCATGTGTAGGTGGGGGCTAGGGGGTCAGGGGGGCAGCCTTTATGGAGGTTGCTGAGGGCCGTGAACTCCCCTGCCCCAGATGAATGAATGACCCTGCTCCTGGGTCACCGGCCTTTGTCTATCTCACCTACATGTCTCTCAGCTTCAGTGAAGTAGTTCTGGGTGAATGGAGTAGGGTATGCCTGTGTATGCAGAGGCTTCTGATGGTGGGACTCTGTAGAGCTACAGGGGATGCAGACAGAGAATTGAAAAGGAGGCAAAGTGGCGTGTGTGAGGGAGCCATCAGTGGTGCCGTGAGCCAGGAGACTCTGACATTCCAACCCCTTAGACAGGCCTAGAGGGGCCTAGTGTCTCATCCTGGCCACACCCCAGGGTCTGTCTCTGCTCCAGCTCCCAGATCACAGACCCCTAGAAAAACCACATTTACCCCCAACACAGAGGGCCATATTAGTGAGAAGGCAAAGTGAATAAGGAAGATGAATTTCTTAACATCTTCGATAAGCTTGCACATAATAATCTATTGAACTTTTTTTTTTTTTGAGACAGAGTTTCACTGTTTTGCCCAGGCTGGAGGGAAGTAGTGCAATCTTGGCTCACTGCAAACTCCGGCCCCTGGGTTCAAGCGATTCTTCTGCCTCAGCCTCCCAAGTGGCTGAGATGATAGGCACCCACCACCATGCCCGACTAATTTTTATATTTTTAGTAGAGACGGAGTTTTGCTATGTTGGCCAGGCTGGCCTCGAACTCCTTGCCTCAGGTGATCTACTGGCCTCAGCCTCCCAAAGAGCTAGGATTACAGGCATGAGCCATGGCGCCTGGCCTACCTATTGAATTTTTTAAAGGATGTGTTGACAATAGGTGGAAAAGCAAGGACTAGAGAACCCCAGGCATGAGTCGAAGTCTGGTGACCTTTAATATACACGTAGCCCCAGGACTGCTCCCTGGGGAAAGGTGGCGACTTACAAGGGCCCAGCAGCTGAGCTGGGGTCACACAGCAAATCTCCCCTGGCTCCTGACATCCTTGCTTGTCCCAGAGACCAGCAAGGGAAGATGCAGGCAGGCAGGATTTGAACATACAAGGGAGCTGGAAGTGACCTGTCCAGAATGGGCAGGGTATGGGCAGGACAGGAGCCATCCCTGCTGTCTCCCTCTGCTTTCAGCACAGCTTTCCTCCTCTCTGGGCCCTGTCCATATGGGAAAGCAGGAGGTCTCCACAAATCATGGACAGGAGGAGCCAGGTCTCTAGAGGGAGTTTTCTCTGCCTTGTGCCACATACAGGCGTGCAAGAAGCCCACTTCCGGGGGCCTCATTTCAATGGTGGAGAGGCCAGTGCCAGGCAGTGCCACTGATCTAGATGACAATGGAAATGGCCCTGCCCCCAACATGTGGGACTGGCCGGCACCGGGGTGCAGGGGGCAGTGGGCACAGTCCCCAGCCTGTGGCTTCTCCTGGGGCCAGGTCCTCTCTGGGGCCCGGATAACTGAAGCAGCCTCCAAGGTGGGCCCAGCGGTGACAGCGGAGCCAGGATCAGCAGGAGGAGCTGGGACCTGGAGCAGAGAGCAGCCCCGGTCCTCCGGGAGCTCAGGAGAGTGTGGCACAGAGCTGGGACCCTGACCACTGAGGATGGGCCATGCCTGGCTGCTGCTGGGTTCCCTCAGGAAACCAAGACGCGAGTTCTGGGATGTGGAGGAGCTGGACGTGGAGCCCATGGCTCAGGCCAGGAGAAGCGCCACAGGCAACGCTGAGAGACCAGCAAGAACACAGGAAGCAACAACCCCTTAGCCCTTCTGCAGCTCAGTCTCCCATGACATGCAGCGAGGCCAGCAATGGAGAGACCCACGGAGACCTCCCACAGGAACCTCACAGAGATATCTCGTACAGAGTGAGCACACTGGGACCTCTCACTGCCACGGAGAGAGACACACTGTAGCCTCCACAGAGACCCCACGGAGCTCTCAGAGTCCTCATGGTGCCCCACAGAGACCTAGCACAGAGATTCCCAGAGTCCTCACCCAGAGAACCCCACAGAGGCCACGCTGAGAGACTTCACTCAGTCCCACAGAGACCTCCCGCAAATGTCAGAGACCTTCCATGGTTCTCACAGGGAGATCTCACACAGAGACCCCACAAAGACCTCAGAGACTTCACACAGAGTCATAAAACAGGGACCTCATGCAGAGACTCATGCAGCTCACTGCAACCTCCGGCCTCCAGCCCCAGAAATGGCACACGGCACCCCCCACTGCCTCACAGAGACCTCTCTCAGAGTCCTCCTCACACAGAGACCTTGCCTGGAGACCTCCCACTCTCCACAGAGACCTTGTATAGATTCCTCACACAGGCCTCAGGTTGCTCCACACTCATTGCCCAGAAACCTCTCACATAGAATTCCCTCAAACATTCCACACAGAGATTCTGTAGGGCTTTCACAGGGTCCTCACACAGGGTCCTCACACAGGGACTTCATATAGTCCATGGTCCCTCACACAGAGACCTAGCACGGAGATTTCACACAGGGACTTCCCACAGAGACCCCACAGAGACCTCTGGAAGATACCTCCCACACAGACCTTCTGCAAAGGCCTCATACAGAGGCCTCACAAGGGGCAATGGAGCCCTCTTGCTGCCCCATGGAGTCCTCCCACAGAGACCTCATGTGGCCTCACAGGCCTCGTACAGAAACTGACTCGGATTTCTTAGAGACTTTCCACACAGAACTCACGCAGAAACCTCAAACTGAGGCTCCACAGAGACCTCACTCAGAGTTCTCACCAGGAGCCTGGCACTGAGGCCTCCCATGCAGCGCTCACACAGCGTCTTCACCATAGGTGAGATGCCCCTCACAGATACTCCTCAGAGATCTGGCCCAGAGGCTTCACAGAGACCTCACATCCATCCATTCTTTAGGGGCCTGAGCAGCCACCTGTTGACACGTCCTTCTCAGTGGATATAAAACCACTCAGCACAGTAGCAGCACAGCCGGGATATCAGTTGCACTCCCCAGGAACCCTGGGACACCCAGATACTGTCAGCATTGCAGTGAAGGCGGTTTTCTGCTTGGGGACATCCTCACACTTTTTTTTTTTTTTTGTAATAGCGCTGCCTCTGAAAAGAATTATGGATTCCACAGGCAGACCTGCAAAATTCTTTCTTCCACAGGTTTCCATTAGCTTGAATTCTGACCCACAATTTAGAAAATTCATTTTTTTAAATTATTTTTTGAGATGGAGTCTTGCTCTGTCGCCCAGGCTGGAGTCCAGTGGGATAATCTTGGCTCACTGCAACCTCCGCCTCTGGAGTTCAAGAGATTCTCCTGCTTCAGCCTCCTGAGTAGCTGGGATTATAGGTGTGCACTACCATGCTCGGCTAATTTTTGTATTTTTAGTAGAGACAGGGTTTCACCATGTTGGCCAGCTGGACTCGAACTCCTGACCTCCGGTGATCCACCCGCCTCGGCCTCCCAAAGTGCTGAGATTATAGGCATGAGCCACTGTGCCCAACCAAAAATTTTTAAGTGAAGAAAATGTTACCAACCTTCAATGAAAGAAAATATCTTATTTGTTCAGTTTGTTATTATCCAGCCAAATTACATCAATGTCATATATTTTTTAAAGTTTGGGGGAGACAAGACTTGAATTTGAGATGCCTGACTTCTGTACTTTGAAAATATGATAAAAACCTCTAGAAAATGAACCCCAGAAATGAAACAAACCAGCAAAGAGGCATCTGGACTCACACTGGTCTCCCAGGGGACTGTGCAACTAGCACATAATTTCATACAGAACAGCTTGGATCACGTTTGCAGAGTTCATTTTATTTTTAGCAAGCTAATAATCATGCAAAGATTTTTCACAAATAGGTCAAATCTCTAGCAATATTCTTATTGTATCACTTGGAAAAATTATACTTCTTAATAATATTATTTTATTCCTTAAAATGCAGTAATGCCCTCAAATAGTAGTATGACACATGTTTGTCAGACATGACTTAGTCCTAATGTTCCACAAACATAGCTTAAGCAGATGGGCAATTTAAAAGGATTTATTTTTTAAACAGTTCTATGAAACACGCATTCTCTAAGATGGGCAGTAGGGATCCATTTTATATTCATTACAGGGCTAAAAAAGGAATGTTTTGAAATCTTACAAAACAAATTAATCTATGCTTGAGATATATACATAGCCTAATAAAATATATTGAGGAAGGGACACGTTAACATTTGAGTGGAAGAAGGTATACATTTAATCAGCATTTGTATAATAAAAATGAATTATGAATGGCCTCACTAATTATATACGCAGCACTTTCCAAAGGGTGCACTCTGGTAAGACTACTTACTTCTCATTGCTCATAAGCAAACTGTTGTTCTTGCCTTGGTAAAATCTATTTTAACAATAGCTGTTAAAGCATATCACTAGATTATCCAACGGGATGACAGGGTCACAGTCTTTTCTCTAAGAGAGGCATAGCTGACATCAAGGCTCTTTTAGCCTATTTGTTTCAACAAGAAATCCCCTTTCTATATTCATCATAATTAAAAAATTTTAACTTAATTTTTCCACTTCCTTATAATGTCACTGCATCGTAAAATAATGGAATCGACATGGATCTTCAGATTATACATATACATATATATATAGTTTTGTTTTTGTTTTTGTTTTTTTTTTTTTTTTTGAGACAGAGTCTTGCCCTGTCACCCAGGCTGGAGTGCAGTGGCATGATCTTGGCTCACTGCAAGCTCAGCCTCCTGGGTTCACACCGTTCTCCTGCCTCAGCCTCCTGAATAGCTGGGACTACAGGCGCCAGCAACCATGACTGGCTAATTTTTTTGTATTTTTTTTTTTAGTAGAGAGAGGGTTTCACTGTGTTAGCCCGGATGGTCTGGATCTCTTGACCACGTGATCCACCCTCCTCGGCCTCCCAAAGTGCTGGGATTACAGGCATGGGCCACCGCGCTTGGCCTATAGATTTTTTCAACAGCGCAACTTAAATAAGTTTAGTTATCAGAACAAAATAGAGTCAATTAGAAAAAAAAATTCATACAGAAAAATATACTTTTCAAGTTGACTGTTTTAACAGAGTTAAAATAAGTGATTATACTTCAGTCATTTGATTTAAATTTGCTCAGAGTGGCCAGAAAATCTAGAAACATAGAAAATGTCCATACTAAATAGTTGATTGCTATGACACGTTGAATGTGCTGTTCCTCAATAGTAATTCATAGTTCAGTAATCTACGCAAAATTGCAATGAACAATGTGCATTAAAGCAACATTTCCATCAATCAGTGTATATTCATCTGCCATATATTGCCTCAGATGATTTGAGTGTCTAATTTCACAGAATAAATTTGAGCCTTTACCCCAGAAGAAATAATCAACGGGGCTCAATCTATTAAAAAGATATTGACAATATTTCCAGGCTCTATTAACATCTATAATTTATTTTTAATTAGATTCACCTAATTCAAAGCTTGTAAATATTTTTACCATTTATATGTGCCCAGATGAAATGGATATCAATAATTAGATAATGGAGAAAACAACAAACACAGATCTTCTTTGTTGTTAAAATATTTTACGTCAGAGCACTTTGCTAGAAATAAAGTAATTTTTAATCTCCAGGCAAAAGACTGTCTAAATGACATTCAGAATGTATTACAAATTTAGATTTAGAATAGATTTATGTTTAAAACAGGCCTCATACTGCTTTCAACAAATCGGGCACTACAGAACAGAATGTGGGGAGGGTGACAATGATGTGATGACTTCTTAACACTGAGCAAAGAAGCAAAAAACAAGTTGTCTTTCTACAATGTTGATCCCTAAGAGTGATTTCCCTTTATAGATTGCAATATAATTCCAGTTGCATTGTTATTATTTTACAAAGAACTCCCACAGAAAAAACTTTCTGGAGGTTTTCCCCTATATACACACCTACATTCTCTGCCATGCTCACACCGTTGGCAAAGTATGGTGCATCCAGCCACAGACCATCAAGGGGCTTGATAATTGCCTCCTCCATATACCTTCTGAGGTCGGTCAGGTTTATAACCATTCGTGTAACACAATTCATCCTTATAACTGGGCCTATGGCCTTGTGGCTTGTCACCTTTTCCAAGCAGGTGCTTGTCATCTTGGTTGCTCAGAGGTTTGCTGTGGCATCTTCCCTCACCTGCGGCCGGGCTGGCCTCCACCATGTTGCAACCAGAAGAGCCCACTTCCGTGGGGACAGAGCTTCCGTGCTCTCCACAGCCACGTCACGCTGCCGCTGTGCAAATGATGCCAACTGTAAATCCCAGAAAACTGCAAAATAATGCTGCGCCAGGCACAGTCGGTGAGGATTTAGAGGATGCTAACGTCTTTCCTAAGAAACGTGGGTGACATCGGCCAGGCACGGTGGCTCACGCCTGTAATCTCAGCACCTTGGGAGGTCGAGGCGGGCAGATCACAAGATCAGGGGATCGAGACCATCCTGGCTAACACGGTGAAACCCCCTCTCTACTAAAAATACAAAAAAATTTGCCGGACATGGTGGGGGAGCCTGTGGTCCCAGCTACTCGGGAGCCTGAGGCAGGAGAATGACGTGACCCCAGGAGGCGGAGCTTGCAGTGAGCCGAGATCGCGCCACTGCACTCCAGCCTGGGAGACAGAGCGAGACTGTAAGACTCTGTCTCAAAAAAAAAGAAGAAAAAGAAAGAAAGAAAGAAAGAAAAGTGGGTGACATCACTCTGGTTCTAATCATTTTCGTGCTTCAGCTGCCCCCACTGGATCAGTGTTTCTGGTGAAAAGCAATCAGTTTTCGGAGGGCCTCACCCTCCTTCACTGTAATGATGTTTGCAGTTCTTTCTTTCTCCTCTATGCCGAAAATCCGGAATTACCACCCCCTGTTCCCCATGGTTCACAATCTCAACCACGTTTCTCCAGTGACCACTTCAATTCACACAGCCATCCCTCAGTTCAACTATTGCCTTTGAACATCATGAGCAAGACCACGGCTCTTTGTATTTCTGCCACAGTTTCACACCAGTTACAGATTATATACATTCTTCACGTCAATAAGTTTATTTTGTAGAGTGTGGTTTCTGGAGTCAGATGAACTCTCCACCTACTAGGTCTGTTACTTGGGCAAGTCATTTCTTGCCTAGATTTACCAATTTGTTAGAGTTATATTACTTTACTCCAAAAGATTTTATTCTGTGAATTACATTGCTTTTCTTATTTTTTAAAAATTGTAAATCTAGGGATTTAGGCTTGGTTGTTTTTTTAAATATCAGTACTTATCTAAACAAGTATTTGAAAATTTTTCTTTTTTCTTTACGTATATTAGAAATCTGGCCAGGCACGGTGGCTCATGCCTGTAATCCCAGCACTTTGGGAGGCCAAGGTGGGCGGATCACCTGAGGTCAGCAGTTTGAGACCAGCCTGGCCAACATGGCAAAACCCCGTCTCTACTAAAAATACAAAAAAATTAGCCGGGCGTGATGGCAGGCACCTGTGATCCCAGCAACTTGGGAGGCTGAGGCAGGAGAATCACTTGAACTGAGGAGGCAGAGGTTGCAGTGAGCTGAGATTGTGCCACTGCACTCCCGCCTGGGCAAGAGTGAGACCCCATCTCAAAAATAAAAAAAAAAGAAAGAAATCTGTTAACAGCCTTGCTATGAAGACATTTTTGTCTGTTTCTTTTACTTTGTGTACTTATTTAATATTAAAACCTGTATTATTGCTCAGCAAAGAGGAGAATTGTTTCCTTGGAGGAAAAAAAACATCCTTAAGAACTTACTAGTTTAAAGCTGAGCATCTTAGATTTGAAGGTTGCCTTACCTTTTTAAAGATTTTTTTTATGAGTTGATAGAAAGTCCTAAAATCTTAGGAACAGAAACAATTGAGAATTACAAGTCAAATCATTGAAATGGAGCCATCTGACAGTTTATGTGTTCTGCTGTGCCAGTAGTGAGTGGGAACAGTTTCTATGTGGGAATATAATCAGGGTCCTGACTACCCCTAAAGGAGCTCTTTCTTGTTTGGTGTGAAGCCAATACACCAAACCAAGAGTGAGTATCAAACAGTGTGGGCTTTTTTCAATGGCCATGGAATTGCAGAAGTGGGAGCATAGCCTGCAAATCAACTTCTCAGAGCCTGAGAACTGAGGATTCTTAATGAAGGGGCTGGTATACAGAGGAAAGGGAGAAATATTCATAGCTTTTCTTGGGAAGGGAGGTAGGTTTTTTTGGAATCAAAGAGCCACCTCTTTTCTGCCTGTTTTTGGTCTCTTCTGGCCATTGTCATGGTGATTGTCAACTGTCAAGGTGCCAGTGGGAGTGTCGTTTAGCATGGAAATTGGATCATAATGAAGCTAGAGGTTTTTCAGAGGTCAAGCTGCCATTGCGGATTTTGCCAGCTTCAGCCAGTTTAGTCCTAAGAAGGAACTTCTGACCCCAGACATCCTGTTTTCTAAAACTAAGCAGTTAAAGCTGAATGGGAATTTAGCTCTGTCACATAGGCATTGGTTGGGCAACAAAAGCAGGGTAGGGCTCCAGCTAAGCCACGTAGGCACTACGATGGGCAACAGAAAGGTTGGTTTCTGGGCAATTCAGAGAAACCAAGGACAGCTACCCCCAGAACTCAGAGTAGCCAACTGGGCTGCTCACAGGAGATGCCTTAACTGAAAGGTGATCAGACTCCACAGGAGACCCAGAGAAGATGTGGAGGGAGCTCAGAGGTTGTCCTGGAGGAGACGTGGAGACAGCTCAGAGGCTGTCCCGGAGAAGACGTGGAAAGAGCTCAGAGGCTGTCCCAGAGAAGACGTGGAGAGCTCAGAGGATGTCCCAAACAAGAGAGAGCTCAGAGGCTGTCCCAGAGAAGACGTGGAGAGAGTTCAGAGGCTGTCCCGGAGAAGACGTGGAAAGAGCTCAGAAACTCAGAGACTGTCCCGGAGAAGACATGGAAACAGCTCAGACGCTGTCTGCAAGAAGACGTGCAGAGAGTTCAGAGGCTGTCCCGGAGAAGACATGGAGAGAGCTCAAAGGCTGTCCACAAGAAGATGTGGAGAGAGTTCAGAGGCTGTCGTTACTGCTGCACTTGGCTGTTTTTCTTTGGATAATTATTGCCATCAATTTTAGTAATTCAGGTGTTAAATCACAGTCAAGCACCTATTTACCTAGTGGTGAGTTCCTTTATGTTGTGAGTTCAATGTCATTTGTGGGGACTGTGGTCCAGGGAGGTGTTGGGAGGATGAAGTTTTTTCTGAGTGACTTTGCAAACATAAAAAGTCACCTAATAAAGATGCTAGAAAAGCAAATATCCTAACTTCCTAGTCAGAAAAATGTCCAACACCATGTTTATTTAGGGGCAAAATTATGTATTCAGAAGAATTTTTCACAAAAAAACAGTGGTGGGAGAAAATTACACATCTGGGCCCAACAAGTAAGACTTTCCCTTCACAATTGTGCTGTGGGATCCCAGGCCTCGGGGGGCTACTGCCGTCACCATCCCCAGGCTGTGGGCCCCTTTGTCAGCTGCTCTTCTGAAGGCAGGTCTCCTGTCCATGCCTTCCCCTTTGTTGTCCGGATGGAGATTGGAGACGCAGCATCATATACAGCTGACAGGTGTTAACCTTATTAGCTAATTCTGTTTCACGGGACACGATTTATACACTCCATGGAAATGCTTCTCACTGCCTTTTTTTACCACTTCAAGGTAGAAGTAGGTAATAGTGCTAAAGTCATCTTACTAGAATAACAAAGTCCATGGTTTGTTGTCCCTAAAAATATTTGTATTAGTTTACTAGGGCTGCCATAACAAAATACCACAGACTGAGTGGCTTAAGTAACATAAATTTCTTTTTTTCTTTCTTTCTTTCTTTGTTTATTTATTATTATTATACTTTAAGTTTTAGGGTACATGTGCACAATGTGCAGGTTAGTTACATATGTATACCTGTGCCATGCTGGTGTGCTGCACCCACTAACTCGTCATCTAGCATTAGGTATATCTCCCAATGCTATCCCTCCCCCCTTCCCCCACCCCACAACAGTCCCCAGAGTGTGATGTTCCCCTTCCTATGTCCATGTGTTCTCACTGTTCGATTCCCACCTATGAGTGAGAATATGTGGTGTTTGGTTTTTTGTTCTTGCGATAGTTTACTGAGAATGATGATTTCCAATTTCATCCATGTCCCTACAAAGGACATGAACTCATCATTTTTAAGAAAATGTGGCACATATACACCATGGAATACTATGCAGCCATAAAAAATTTCTTTTCTCACAGTTTTGGAGGCTGGAAGTCCAAGATCAAGGAATCAGCACATTTGGTCTCTTCTGAGGCCTCTCTCCTTCCCTTGCCAATGGCCACCTTCTTACTGTGTCCTCACATGATTGTCCTGTGGTCTGTGTGTGGTCTCTGTCCACATCTCCTTGTCTTACAAGGAAATCAGTCTTACTGATTAGGGCCCACCCATATAACCTAATTTTACCTCAATTACCTCTTTATAGGTCCTCTTTCCAAATACAGCCCCATTCTGAGGTACTAGAGGTGAGGACTTCAACATAAATTTGAGGCAACACAATTCTGTCCATGACAATTGTCCACCTTAGTTTTATGGTGAACCAAGGCTGTGAAAAAGACTTGACTTGGGGCCGGGCATGGTGGCTCACGCCTGTAATCCCTACACTTTAGGAGGCCAAGGTGGGTGCATAACCCAAGGTCAGGAGTTCAAGACCAGCCTGGCCAACATGATGAAACCCCATCTCTACTAAAAATACAAAAAGAATGAGCTGGGCTTGGTGGCGGGTGCCTGTAATCCCAGCTACTCAGGTGGCTGAGACGGGAGAATTGCTTGAACCCGGGAAGCGAAGGTTGCAGTGAGCCGAGACTGCACCACTGCACTCAAGCCTGGACAACAAGAGCGAAATTCTGTCTAAAAAAAAAAAAAAAAAAAAAAAGACTTGACTGAAGGCAGTGACCTAAGAGTGAAGCGATAACAGCTGGCAACTGTTCCGCAAGAAGGTGCAAAGCCCCTGCAGGCCTGGGAAGGTGCAGAGCCTGCACCTCAGATTTGACTCCTCTCATAGAATCATGGAATTTAAGTGAACCTCTTCCAGTATTAGGGAATCTTGAATGGAAACTCTAATATCTTAATCCCCAGTGTAACAAACTTTTACTACATTGTTCTCATGATGACAAATGTCTCATCAGAAAATGGCTTAAAAGTATAATTATTATGAAAGCAGACTGGCTTATTTAAAACAAACATAATCTGAAAACTGTAATCCAAAAAGTAGACATCCATATATATATATATATATATATATATATATATATATATATATATATTCATTCATTCTCTTTGCTTTGAAACTTTCACTGAATGACCTTTGTCCGTTTTATCAGTCACCATATTTTAGTGGTGCTGTGCAGTGACTTTTGTAGAGTAATATCTCTCAAAGTGTGCAGTGATCAATATTGTGTTGTCAAAAGATTCTGTAGTCAAAGAAGTTTGGAAAACTTTAATTTTTTGATTAAGCAAAGCAAGAAGTCTGAGTTTCATTTATTGGTTTACTATGAAAAGTGTTAGAGGCTTTATGATGTGCAAGAAGGACATGTGTCATAATATTTCTCAAACCTATTTGACTTCCAATACTTGCTTTTTTGTTTTTTCTTCTTTTGTGGAGAAATTTCAAAAACTTTGGAAAATACTTTTTAAGTGAGATTCAGGAGTTTGATAAGCAAGATGACAAATACTAAAAATATACACTCCAAATATAGACACAATGAATACTAAATAAACTCACTGTTTTTAGTCAACATTATTCAAGGATATCCAAAGTTTTTCATGGCATAAAATGCTCTTTTTCTTTTCAGTAATATGATACATGTGATATTCCTGGAAACTTAAAAAAAAATCATCATTTATGTGCTCTCTTGTCAGTTTCATGCTGTATTTTTGATGTAGAAGAAAGAATTTGGTATCTTCTCAGGAATACATTGTCACATAAAAATATGTAAACTCCTTCAGATAAATTCTCACCTGCAGAATGAGTCAAACAGCAGGGGGAGAAGCTGAATCTAGTGTTCGCAGTGAGTGACCTGTCTTCCTCAACACTGTCATCTCATCTATTGTCTTGGATGCTCAAGAAACGGAACTATATAAATGTGGCTTCTGGCCTTCATATATTACAGTGCCAAAGCTTCAAAGAACCAGTTTTTATTTAATACTTACTTTGTTTCTTTGCATTTTTTTTCAAAAATACAATATGTTGTTATTAACTATAGTGACCATGTTGTGCAGTAGATCTCTTCTTGAATATTTCCCCTCTCCTAAATGAAATTTTGAATCCTTTGATAAACATCCCCACTCCCCACCCCAAGTCCAGCCCCTGGTAACCACCAGTCTACTCTCTACTTCTATGAGTTTAGCTTTTTCAGATTCGACATAAAAGTGAAATCATATGGTCTTTCTGTGCCTGGCTTGTTTCATTTAACATAATGTCCTCCAGGTTCATCCATGTTGTCACAAATAACAAGATTTCATTATTTTTTATGGCTGAATAGTATTTCATTGTGTATATATACTACTTTTTAAAATTCATCCATCCATTGATGGACACTTACATTGTTTCCACATCTTGGGCTAATATATAAATAAGATTTAATGTATATGGTGTTGCAGATATCTCTTCGACATACGGATTTCATTTCCTTTGGATATATACCCAGTAGTGGGATTGCTGGTTCATATGGTAGTTCATTTTTAATTTTTGAAGGAACCTCCATGCTATTTTCCATGATGCCTTTCCTTCAAATCTTCTCCAACACTTGTTATATTTTGTCATTTTATAATAACCATCCTAACACGTATGGGGTGATATCTCAAAGTGTTTTTAATTTGCCTTTCTCTAATGATTAGTAATATTGAGCATTTTTTATATGCCTGTTGGCCTGTATGTCTTCTTTTGAAAAATGTCTATTTGGATCATTTGTCCATTTCTTATTGAGTTATTTTTGGTTGTCTCTTCACTCTGCTAGCACCTATTTTGTATAAGACAATAATGCTCTTACATTTTCAAAATATACAGAAGATAAAAAACATATAGTAAGTATGATACTTGAATTGTAGTGAGACGTTTAAAATTTTCCAGGAAACAATTACTGTGTTTTATGGTTATAAGGAAGAAACATGTACATCATTTTGGGGAAGAAAAAGAGAAATTATGGAGTGATAAGTTTAAATTGAGAAAATATCAACAAATACAATATACGAGAGAGGCTCTAGGCATTTCATTTACAAAAATATTGTCCAGTTTTTGTATGTGTGATGTGTGCTTGTTCCCTCTTTCCATATCTATCTCTGTCTGTCTTTCTGCTATGGTTTGAATGTATCCTCCAAAAGTTCATAGATTGGAAACTTAATCCCTCTTCTCTCATGAATAGATTTATGTCAGTCCTGCCCTCATGAATGGATTAATGTCACTAGCATAGTAGTGGGTTCCTTATCATAAGCCCTTTTGCTCTTGCTCTCTCACTATGTGATGCCCCCTGCCATGTTGTTAGGCAGCAAGAAGGCCTTCTCCAGAGGCCAGCATCATGCTCTTGGCATTCCTAGGCCTCAGAGCTAAATACATTTATTTTCTTTATAAATCACTCAGTCTGTGGTATTCTGTTATAGCAACAAAAATATTAAGACACTCTTCCTATTTCCCCTACTCTCCTTCCTCCAGCCTCTTTCTTACACACAAAATGTTACTGAAATACCAGGAGTTCAATCTAGGTTCTGTTACTTGCACACAGAAAGCCAATCACTTAGACAATGAATATTGCCAAGGAAGAAGGCTTTAATTGCATGCTACAGCTAAGGATATGGGATATCAGTCTCAATTCCATCTCCTCAACCAGCCGAAATTAGGGGATTATATAGCAAGGAAGAAATGTAACTATGAGCAGGAAAACAGGAACTAGGGAGGGCTAAGGAAGCAATCATGACAAATAAGGAATCTGGCATCTGGCATCTCATTGTCTCGACACAGTGGTCTGATGAATTTCACTTCTTTGATACTTTTTGAGAGAGCTGAGAGTCCATTTCCTGAGGAAGAAACTCAGAGAAAACAAATGTAAGTTTCAAGCTTCAAGACCAGAAGGATTTGTTTCTATGTTTATATTTTTAAAATCTGTCTGTGGATCTATTGGGTGCATTTCAAAAACACATACAGAGGAAATCCCAGGCGCTGTGCTAGAATTGGGAATACAATGGTGAGTTCAAAGAGGAATAATTTTCCTATTCTCATGAAGCTAATAGTATAGGATAGAGAAAGCAAACACTAATCAAAGAACCACACAAGCATAAGATTGCAACTACAACTAAAAACCATAACCATTCAGTTAAGCTAAGGAGGCCACCATTGTCACCCTTCTCTTAACCTTTAATAATGTATTTTACAGGTAAAATCCTTAAGTAAGTCATATTTGGTTGGGAAGATCAAAGAAATCACCCAGTCTCCCACATCCGAAATTGTGCAGTCTGGACTGTCAGGAACAAAAGTGAAAGAGAGACGTCATCAAGGCCGGGCGCGGTGGCTCATGCCTGTAATCCCAGCACTTTGGAAGGCCAAGGAGGGCGGATCATGAGGTCAGGAGTTCAAGACCAGCCTGGCCAATATGGTGAAACCCTGTCTCTACTAAAAATACAAAAATTAGCCAGGCGTGGTGGCAGGCGCCTGTAATCCCAGCTACTTGGGAGGCTGAGGCAGAAGAATCACTTGAACCTGAGAGGCAGAGGTTGCAATAAGCCAAGATTGTGCCATTGCACTCCAGCCTGGGAGACAAAGCGAGACTCCATCTCAAAAAAAAAAAAAAAAAAAGAATGACTAAAATTAAGAAGATTGATGATTCCAAATATTAGTAAAGATGTAGAACAACTAGAACTCCCACATATTGCTGATGAAAATGAAGAATAATACATTACTTTGGAAAATACTTTGGTACTGATTTACCATATGACCCCAAAATCTCACTTGTAGAAATTTATACAGGAAAAATGAAAACATATGCTCACAGAAAGCTTGTATACACATGCTTATGGCAATAAATTTATTTATAGTTGCCTACCAACAAGTGATGAACAAATATATTTTAGTATCTTGATACTACTTTCTAGCTAGAAAAGGAATACTACTAAGCAAAAATAGAGGATGAAGTAGTAATATACATAACATAGATGAATTTAAAAACACCATGCTGATTGAAAGAAAACAATTATCAAATACACAGTGTAATATTCTATTCACAGAAAGTTTGAAAACAAAAAACTATAGTCTCTGAAAGAAAACCATTGGTTGCAGGAAGGTGGGGATTCATTGGCCACAAAAGGGACTGAGGAAACTTTTTATGGGTAATGGAAATATTTTATATCTTGATTGTGGCACCAATTATACAACTGTATGTACACATCTGTCAAAATTCTAATTGTATTATACACAACATGAGTGACTTTAACTGTCTATAAATTATATCTCAATAAAATTGGTCTTAAAAGATATATATATATACACACACATAATTTAATATGTATTTTATATATATATCTCTCTCTCTCTCGACAATGGAGTGAAATGTACTCTTTTTTTTTTTTTTGAGACGGAGTCTCGCTCTGTTGCCCAGGCTGGAGTGCAGTGGCGTGATCTCAGCTCACTGCAAGCTCCCAGGTTCACGCCATTCTCCTGCCTCAGCCTCCTGAGTAGCTGGGACTACAGGCGCCCACCATCACGCCCAGCTAATTTTGTTTTTGTATTTTTAGTAGAGATGGGGTTTCACCATGTTAGCCAGGATGGTCTTGATCTCCTGACCTCGTGATCGCCTGCCTCAGCTTCCCAAAGTGCTGGGATTACAGGTGTGAGCCACCACTCCCGGCCTGTGAAGTGTATTCTTATGGTTTAATTGTCACTTAGCAAACATCCAGAATGCTAAATATCCATATTATTTCTCTTGTTTTGCCTTTCTCTCACTTTTTCTACAAGCACCATTTTGAAGAAAGCCTCATCAACTTTATTAATTATATTTGTGATCATTTGAAGACACAGAAAATTTTCTTCTGCAAAATATAAAGTCTTCTTTCATCTGCTCTCGTGATCCTTTTATTCTTCTGCCAAGTGATGTACATTAATTGATCAACTGAGTTATGCATGCATTTACTTTTTCACAGATCTTTGTTATGCCTCTACTAGTTCTATGCTAGGGATATGGTATGACATTGAACAGGATCAATATGGTCCCTGCTTTCACAGAGCCCACACCTAATGTGTGGATAGTCAGAACACAGTTACACAAACACAAGTGGGAAATAATTATAACATCTGATAGATCTGAAGTCAGTAGAAAAGGTATTGAAATGGAGAAATAGAAAGGGGCCTCGCTTTGATAATGAAATCAGAGACAGTTTCCCTGCAACTTCCTTGGAGGGCAAAAGCCATGTCCTTTCCTTCTCCTACCCCACCACTGACCCCAATAAAATACCGAGCACAGAATTTTCACTCAATAAATTACCTTAAAATGGATTTCAAAATATTTATAAAGCACATTTGTGTCCATTAAAGTATGAAAGGACATGTATTTGGAGCATAAAACCCAGCACATGATGGAAACATCACATAAATGAGGATCAAGAATCTAATTATGTAATGGGAAAATTTAAAAGAAATGTCAAGCTGGATAGAGTGTATTCTAAGAAAATGAATACATGTATAATAGCTAAATATTTGGCATTTGAGTTTGGGATGAAAAAATAGATGTAAAAGAAACAGTTTCCTTAATTAAGAATTTAATTTTGTGGGGCCGGGTGCGGTGGCTCACACCTGTAATCCCAGCACTTTGGGAGGCCAAGGCGGGCACATCACGAAGTCAGGAGATTGAGACCATCCTGGCTAACATGGCGAAACCCCGTCTCTACTAAAAAATACTAAAAATTAGCCAGGCGTGGTGGTGGGCACCTGTAGTCCCAGCTACTTGGGAGGCTGAGGCAGGAGAATGGTGTGAACCTGGGAGGCAGAGCTTGCAGTGAGCCGAGATCACACCACTACACTCCAGTCTGGGTGACAGAGCAAGACTCCGTCTCAAAAAAAAAAAAAAAAAATTAATTTTGTCCTTTGGAAGGAGAGAAAGAAAAGGCAGTTCACCTAGACCATCACTTGCCTTTTTTAGTTGCAGCAAATGCCAGTTTTTAACCGGATATGTTTGCAATGTGTGAGTTCTTCTCCAAGTGCTAGCTAGGATGAGCTTCCATACACCGCACCCCCAGCTGTGGTAATGCTTTACTCATAGCCTGTCTCTCATCCATCTGCCTGAATTCCTGCAGAACACAGTTGGACCAGCAGCTCATATTTAATCCTCTCATATGATATTAACACCACTGGTCTCCATTTTTGATTTACATCTTAAAGCCTCCAGGCTGTAATTGTTTTACCACTGTATTTCATTATTTAACATCCACTACTTTTATGGAAAAAAATGTGTTTACTCCTGTATCTCATCTTAATGTTTCACTAACTGCTAAACTCACATTTTTTGTTCATTTGCATTGTTTCGAGAATCTAGATTGTATTTGTGTTTGGAAACAGTCACAGCCACTTCCAGAGGTCATTTCCCATAGACCCCAAACTTCTCTTCTCCCAGCCTTGGAGGTGCTGGGTTCTAGAAGGAGGAGGCAGTGAGTCCAGAAGCCCAGCCATATCAGGATGACATCTACCATGCATCAGTCCTCGTGTGTCTTCAGCGCCTCTTTCACATGTCTGTGTCCTTAGAGCTTGCTGGAACCATCTTTGCTTGTCTCTGTGTATTCTGAGTCTGTGACTATTTGGCTCTAGGAGTCTTCTCAACAAAGTACAATTTCTGTTGTCTTTTTCCAAAAAACTTTATGAATAAAATGAAAATATGAGTAATATAAAATCAAAATATATTTTGATTTCTCATTTCAAAATTATCTACCTCTGTAGTTTAATAGAACTCAATTATTGGCCCCAGAAGATAATTTTTTTCCCTAAAGTATTTTCTAAATAATAACCAGTAGTTGACCTACGTCCTTTATATATATCACATAGAAGATCTCCACAGTACATTCTTCAAATTCAGCTCAGATAATCCATGGAATGCTCAAGTTCCCTGTAACAAATTGAGCTCCTATATCTCTGTGGACTTATAATTGACTAATAAAAGTAAGACTTGTTTGCTAATGATAAAGATAATTTGTAAAAAATAAATCATTTTAGTTTGACCATGAGACGCACACATCCATTATCATTAAATGTGAAAATCTAGAATATATCCAGTTAATGGTCAGGTATCAACTTTATGTCCCACACTTGCCATGTAGAAGCTAAGCTTTTAAAATGTAGAATTATTTTCTACTTTTCTGTTATATGCATATATTATAAATGACAAGTATTTTAAACACTGGATTTTTTTAAAAATTGCTTTATTTTCTTCTGTTTTGACAAAAGTTGGCTTTCAAGTTTAATTAAGTTAAAAAAAAACGAACAACAAAAGTGTATTCCAATGGGAGACAGATAAAGCATCTTTCTTATCTAAAATACAGGACCAGGCGCAGTGGCTCATGCCTGAAATCCCAGTACTTTGGGAGGCCGAGGCAGGTGAATCACCTGAGGTCAGGAGTTCGAGACCAGCCTGACCAACATGTCTCTACTAAAAATACAAAATTAGCCGGATGTGTTGGTCCATGCCTATAATCCCAGCTACTCAGGAAGCTGAGGCAGGAGAATCACTTGAACCCAGGAGGCGGAGGTTGCAGTGAGCCAAGATCATACCATTGCACTCCAGCCTGGGCAACAAGACTGAAACTCTGTCTTAAAATAATAATAAAATAAAATATATATTTATATATGGTATATGAATTTGATACATTTTGCTTTATTTCAGGACTAATGTAATGCTACAGAAAAGGAATGACTCTAAACTCACTTAATTTCTCCTGACTATAAATAGCCCTTGACCACTTTCAACTTTCCCACTGATAACTCTATAACATAGGGCAAGTTACTTGACCTCACTGAGCCTATTTTGCCATCTATAAATCAGCTAATAGGACCTAACTTATAGGTTTGCTGAGAGGTATAAGTAAGACAATAGAGTCTAGCATATGGTGGGGCTCAACAAATATTAGTACATTACTTACACTTTTTTTTTCACCCTGCTATGCCTTTCAGTTTATTTCTACTAAACTCTAAGTTATTAAAATACAGGCTGAAGTATTATTAATTTCCCTCTGTGTTCTCCCCAGTTCCTATCACAGTGCCAGGGACACACAGGCCCCATAATCCTTCATGGTCAATTGAACTGACAGTGAACTATGTCTTCGTCCATTTGGGATGCTACAACAAAATACCATAGACCGGGTGACTTATAAACCACAGAAATGTGTTTCTTATCGTTCTGGAGGCTGGGAAGTCCAAGATCACGGCATTGGCAGATTCAGTGTCTGGTGAAGGCCTGCTTTGTGGTTCATAGATGGGTGCTTTCTTGCTGTGTCCTCATGTGGTGATAGGGGCAAGCCAGTGCTCCTAGTCTCTTTGATAAGAGCACTAATCCCATTTCCGAGGGCCCATCATGACTGAATCACTTCTCAGCAATCCTCCCTTCTAATCTCATCACTTTGGGGGCTAGGATTTCAACATATGAATTTGTGTGGGGGGCACAAACATTGAATCCATTGCAATGAACATCAAAGGATGGTACAGTGGTTAGTGTTTGTGTATCATGGCCTACCTAATAATTTTATGTCTTTGTTGCTGAAAATAAAACAAATAAAAGCTTTCATTTACATGCTTTTTTAGCACACCTTTTCTGGAAAAAATTCTCTACTTTAGTGCTGGTTTGTGTGGCTCATAATATGTCTATGGCCATTAAAATCCAATAGAACTCCAGAGCGAGGAAGCACATTGCTGTCTTTCTCTATGGTGTTTTCCAGGCAGGGTCAGATTGCCAGGATATCATCAGACATTTTTTGGTAGACAGTGAGGGGAGGGGGTGGAGAGGGTGCAGTTTATTATACGTAAATTATACCTCAATAAAGCTGGTACTTCTTTTAAAATTTGCCATAATTCTTTATATTATAAAGATATAAAGAAATTTTTGCACTGTCTCTCAAGTTTGTCCAGAGGATAAAATCAGAGGCATATAACAATATAAAATAGTATTCAAAGATCAAATATTTATCCAAACTTTAATACTAGAGAAAGATGGGCAGGTATAAGCATGAGCAATGGGAAAATGAGAAAGAGCAGGAGAAGGAAATGTTACTGAAGCAAAGTCAGAGATTGCCTGCTTAAAAAAGTTTTAAAAGCTAATTTACGGAGATGGCTTCTTTCCTTAAACCTCACGAACCAACCTCTACTACCTTCCAACTTTTCTTCTTCAGCTTCCTCACCTCTCTCAGCCTTCATAGAACTGAAGAGAGTTAGGGCCTTCCTCTGGATTAGGCTTTGGTTTAAGGGAATGTTGTGGCTGGTTTGATTTTCTGTCCAGAGCACTCAAACTTTCTCCATATCAGCAATAAGGCCGTTTCACTTTCTCATCACTTGTGTGTTTACTGGAGTAGCACTTTTAATTTCCTCCAGGAACATTCTCTTTGCATGCACAGCTTGGCCAACTGTTTGGTGAAAGAGGCCTAGCTCCCCATCTATCTTGGTTTCCAGGATGCCTTCCTCACTCAGCTCAATCATTTCTAGCTTTTGACTTAAAGTGAGAAATACGTGATTCGTCCTTTCATTTGAACACTTAGAGGCGATTGTAGGATTATTAATTGGCCTAATTTCAATACTGTTCTGTTTCAGGGAATACAGAGGCCTGAAGAGAGGAAAAAAGAGATGGGGGATGGTCGGTGGAGCAGTCAGAATACACACATTTACTGGCAAGTTTGTCATCTTATGTTGGCACAGTTGTGGCACCCCAAAACAATTACAATAGTAACATCAAAGATTACTGATCACAGATCACATAACAGACATAATAATACAAATTTAAAATATTGCAAGAGTTACCAGATGTGATACAGTGACACAAAGTGAGCACATGCTATTGGAGAAAATGGTGCTGATAGACTTGCTCAATGCAGGGTTGCCACATGCCTTCAATTTATAAAAAATGCAGTATCTGAGAAGTGCAGTAAAGCAAAGCACAATAAAATCAGGTATGAGGCTGGGCATGGTGGCTCATGCCTGTAATCCCAACACTTTGGGAGGCTGAGGCGGGCAGATCACCTCAGGTCAGAAGTTCAACCAGCCTGACCAACATGAAGAAACCCAGTCTCTACTAAAAATACAAAATTAGCTGGGTGTGGTGATGCATGCCTGTAATCCCAGCTACTCGGGAGGCTGAGGCAGGAAAATCGCTTGAACCCAGGAGGGGGAGGTTGCGGTGAGCCCAGATCTTGCCATTGCACTCCAGCCTGGGCTACAAGAGCAAAACTCCATCTCAAAAAAAAAAAAAAAGAAACTAGAAAAGAAAATAAAACCAACAGTAAGCAGAAGAAAGGAAGTAAAAAGCATCAGTGTAGAAATCAATGCAATAGAACACAGGAAAAATCATTTACAGGAAATAAATGAAACCAAACTCTGTCTCTTTGAGAAGGTCCATAGTATTGATAAACTTCTATTCAGGCTTATCAGGAAAAAAAGAGAGAATACAAAAACAACCTATCAGGAATAAGAGAAGTAACATAACAACAGATTCAACAGATGCTAAAGAGATAATAAATGGTAATTATGAACAACATTGTGCCAACAGATTTGACAACTTAGATGAAGTGGACAAATGTCTCCAAAGACACAATTATCTAGTCTTACTCAAAAACAAACAGACAGAATAGCCCGGTATCTATTAAAGAAATTGAAGCTGTAATTTAAAACCTTTCCACAAAGACTCCAATGCTAGGTCTAAATGGCTTCAGTGAAGAATTCTACCAAACATTTAAGAAAAACATGATACCAATTCTGCTAGTTCTTACCAATTATTCTAATTAAAGAGAAAATTGAAAAAGGAAGGAATACTTCCGAATAACCTCTTGCACTTTTCTCAGACTTGTAAGTGTGACACTGGGATGACCAGTTCATGGGGAGAATTTTATATTCTTTACAGGTGAATTGGCTACAACCACAGGCAATTTCAATTTCTTTCCAAATTTCTTCAGGGGAATATCTGAGGAAAAATAAAGTGCTTTTGAAATATAAACACTTTCTAGGAATACAGGAATGTTGCTTATATATGATTTTACCAATGGTCTCATGAAAATTGTGTGGAGGACTGTGGCTATAAACACAATGGTTTGAATTTTATGTAAATTCATAGCTTTTTATTGTTATTTTTAAATACAGAAAAGTTCTGAAGATAGTAATTTTATTTGCCAGTTTTTTGGAAACTTTATATCTGAGGAAGATCTGCTGGAAGATGTCATTTGGGGTAATGCAAAATATTTCTGGAAGACACAAGTAAAATGGGCCCTCATTGACCAAGTAGTTTGTATAGATGTAGTGATTAAACTATTAAGTAGAGGGGAGGTTGCAAAAATATTTGACAAAATGAAATGTGTGCCTGCAGTGCAAAACCACTGATCCTGCTCACAAACAGGCATAGTGAGAAAGATTTCTATATGCCTGGTAGAACAACCTCTGTGGGCCATCTTAAGCACTGGTGATTAACACTTTTATGCATTCTATTACATCTGAATTTCACCACTTAACATGATACTTAAGCTGAATTAAAATGCCTTAATACTCTTGCCTTAATATTCTTCCAAGGTTTAGCACCTGGTCCTTTTAATAAAAAAAAAAAAAAGGTTATGGTTACCTTTTTTTGAAAAGGTACTCAAATATGTCAACTTTATTGTTTCTAGATATACACCCCTTTGTACTGAAAATTGTAAAAATAGCATGAAGTTTCCTCTTATTGCAATCCAAATTTTTGAAAGCCAGAAAATCTAATTATTATGCTCTAGACAACTTACCTAATGCATTGTTTATCCACAAGTAACTTTGCTTCAATTTCTTGATGTTGGGTTTCATCTCACTGACTTTGGGCTTCTAAATGGGAATATTTACGTCCTCTTCGCTTCTTTGGGTCAGATCAAACAGTAGAGCTAAAGTTATTCAAATACATTCAAACTACACAGACCCCTTATAAATTACTAGTATCATGGTAGGAAGGAAAATATATAAGAAGAAAAATACATCCTGGAACTCATTATCAAAATTATTGGTGTATAGTCTATACTAGCATAGAGTAGCTTTCTCAACCTGCTATGTAAAATTGCCAGCAAGAAAAAAAAGTGCAAGAATAAGGTCTATGACTGAAGTGGCTCGGTGTCATGATTCCCTACTCTAGCATTCTCAGAAGGATCCCATCCGTTAGACGTGCAGAAACTGCAGCCCATCCAAATGTGATCTGTTTAATCAATAATCAACAGTTCATATTGAAGACAGTATTTTTGCTATATGTGCTTGTCATAATGAAGGACGGTGTACAAAGAACAAGTTGAACCAGATGAACACTTTAATTTTGATGCCAAAATCAATCACTTTTTGTCATAACACCAGGCATAGATAATGGTTGATCCAGTGCACACTGTCTGTATTACCCCATAATTTCCTGCAGCAGACATGTTGTAATTTGACATACTCCTTGATCATTAACACATTGCAGTAGTCAGATATACTTGTCAAGATTAAGCTAAATGTCAGTAGAAGACTCAGTGAAGGCTTGAAAATCTTGCAGCTTGCTCTCAGAGACACTGCCAACTGAAATGATAAATGTCATTGGGCTGTGGTACTATTCTCATCGACGTATCAATAAATAAAGGGATGCTGGCGAAAAAATGTTCTTCCAGATACCTGCCCACTCTGAACCTAGAGTTCTTTTCATCACTGTGAAAGACAGCTCCCTACACACCGCAGCCATTTCCTGGGAGGACTCTGAGCTGTGATTTTAATAACAGAATGCACTCATCTGCCATTTTTCTTCCAGAATTGCTTGTGAATATCCTGCATGCTATCCAAGTCTCTTCACCCTTGTAGTCTTTGTATAAATGGGTTCATTTTGTTCCTTTTAATTTTTTTGAGACAGAGTCTCACTCTGTGGCCCAGGCTGGAGTGCATTGGCGCTATCTGGGCTCACTGCAACCTCCGCCTCCCAGGTTCAAGCTCTTCTCCTGCCTCAGCTTCCTGAGTAGCTGGGATTACAGGCGCGCACCAACACGCCTGGCTAATTTTTATATTTTCAGTAGAGACGGGGTTTTGCCGTGTTGGCCAGGCTGGTCTTGAGCTCCTGGCCTCAAGCGATCCACTCGCCTTGGCCTCCCAAAGTGCTGGGATTACAGGCTTGAGCCACTGCGCCCGGCCCCTTTGTTCTTATTTGTTGTTATTGCAGTGGGATTCTAGGAGGTGCTGGGAGTGGAGAAGTTAATCAACATATTTAGCTAGCTTGAATAGACATCCCAGTATTGATAGAGTTGCAATCTTAAAAAAAGAAAGAAAGAAAGGGAAAAAAAAGCCCAACAGTCATGGGATGAAAAAGTATTTGGGCGAGGATGAAAGAGTCAAACTCTCACTGTGCACGTGAAATCACAAGTATGGGCCTGGCGCAGTGGTTCACGCCTGTAATCCCAGCACTTTGGGAGGCGGGTGGATCGTGGGGTCAGGAGATCAAGACCACCTTGGCTAACACGGTGAAACCCCGTCTCTACTAAAAAAAAAAAATACAAAAAATTAGCCGGGCATGGTGACGGGCGACTGTAGTCCCAGCTACTCGGGAGACTGTGGCAGGAGAATGGCGTGAACCTGGGAGGCGGAGCTTGCAGTGAGCTGAGATGGCGCCACTGCACTCCAGCCTGGGCAACAAGGCAAGACTCCATTTCAGAAAAAAAAAAAAAAGAAAGAAAGAAAAAGAAATCACAAGTACGTACACACGCAACTGTCCTGGTACTAACACAACATTTTGGTTTCCTTATAATATTGAAATTTTATTGAATATTGAAATACATTTTATTGAAGTTGAGAGTTGTATCTTCTTTTACCATGACCGCCAACATGTATGTGCAATAAAAGCTATAAGAATATTTGCATTTGACCCCTAAAATAAGGAACTTGGATTTAATAATTTGGCAGTTGCTTTGTTTCATTTAAATTTGAATATTTTTCTGTTTTATTTTAATAGATTGTTCCTATTGCATTATTCAAAGGTGTTAAAAAAACTCTATGTGGTTGATTAGAGAACATTTATTATGTATATTTATTTGTGAATATTTATAATAATGAGTGTTTATTAAATATGTACATATTATACATTATACCAGGTACATATTGTATATATTATACATTATATAAGGTAGGGAATATACGTTGCCCATGTGGAGTTTATAATATAGCTGGAAAAATAATATCAACATATATACTGTATGATTCCAGCTACTTTTTTTTGTTTCTTTTTGAGATGCAGTCTTGCTCTGTCACACAGGCTGGAGTGCAGTGGTGTGATCTTGGCTCACTGCAACCTCCGCCTCCCAGGTTCAAGCAATTCTCCTGCCTCAGCCTCCTCAGTAGCTGGGATTACAGGCACGTGCCACCAGGCCCAGCTAATTTTTGTATTTTCAGTAGAGATGAGGTTTCACTGTGTTGTTCAGGCTGGTCTTGAACTCCTGACCTCGTGATCCTCTCACCTTTGCCTCCCAAAGTGCTGGGATTACAGGTGTGAGCCACCACGCCCGGCCTTTTGCCCACTTTTAAGTTGGATTATTTGTTTTCTTATTGTAGAGTTTCAAGTATTCTCTGTATATTTTGAATACTAGCCCTTTATCAGATATGTTCTCCCTCCCTGTGACTTGTTTTCTAATTCTTTTAACAGTGTCACCCATGCAGTAGAAGTTTTTTTATTTTTTTAATTATAATAAAGTCCCACTTAGCAAGTTTTTCTTCTATAGGTCACACTATAGGGTTGTATTTAAAAACTCATAGTCAAACCCAAGGTCACCTGTATTTTCTCCTGCTATCTTTTAGAAGTTTTATAGTTTTGCCTTTAAATTTAAGTCTATGATCCATTTTGAGTTAATTTTTGTGAGAAGTGTAAGGTCAGTATCTAGATTCATTTTTTTACATGTGGTTGTCCAGTAGTTTTAACACCATTTGTTAAGAAGCATATCTTTTTCCCATTGAATTACCTTTGCTTATTTGTCAAAGATCTATTGACTATATTTGTGAGGGTCTCTATCTGTACTCTGTGTTCTATTCCATTGATCTATTTGTCTATTCTTTACCAATACCACACTCTCTTGATTACTGTAAGTTTACAGTAAGTCTTGAAGTCAGTAAGCATTAGTTCTCTAATTTTGTTCTTCTTTAATATTATGTTGGCTTTTCTGCATCTCGTGACTTTCTATAGATTTGGAGTCAGCTAGTCAATATCTACAAAGTAGCTTGCTTGGATTTTGATAAGTACTGCATTGATCCCAATACTGATCTGTAGATCAAGTTGAAAGAACTGATATCTTAACAATATTGAATTTTCTTATTCATTAACATGCAGTAAGTCGATTTTTTAGATCTTCTGTGGTTTCGTTCATCAGATTTTCATAGTTTTCCTCAGATAGATACTACACATATTTTGTTAGACTTATACCTAAGTATTTCATTTTTGGTGCTAATGTAAATGGCACTGTGTTTTTAATTTTAAATTTCAACTGTTCATTGATGGCATATAGAAAAAGAAATGACTTCTGTAAATTAACTTTGTATCCTTCATCCTTGCTGTAATCACTTATAAAAGATTATATACATAGAATTCATTCTAGGAGTTTTTTGTTTATTCTTTGTGATTTTCTACATAGGCACTCATGGCATATATGAACAAAGACAGTTTTATCACTTCCTTTCTTCTTTTTTTTTTTTTTTGAGACAGAGTCTCGCTCTGTCACCCAGGCTGCAGTGCAGTGGCTCGATCTCGGCTCACTGCAAGCTCTGCCTCCCAGATTCACGCCATTCTCCTGCCTCAGTCTCCCGAGTAGCTGGGACTACAGGCACCCGCCACCACGCCCGGCTAATTTTTTGTATTTTTAGTAGAGACGGGGTTTCGCCATGTTAGCCAGGATGGTCTCGATCTCCTGGTCTCGTGATCCGCCTCCCTCGATATCCCAAAGTGCTGGGATTACAGGCTTGAGCCACTGCTCCCCGCTATCACTTCCTTTCTTATCTGTATACCTTTTATTTCTTTTTTCTGTCTTATTGCATTAGTTAGGACTTTCCACACAAAGTTAAATAAGAGTGATAAGAGGAGACATCCTTGTTTTGTTCCTGTTCTTAGTGGGAAAGTATCTCACTTTTCAGGCTTGAGTATCATGTTAAGTGGAGGGGTTTTTTAGATTTAAAAAATCAATTTGAAGAAGTTTCTCTCTATTGCTAGTTTGCTGAAAGTTTTTGTTTTGTCTGTTTGTTTGTTTGTTTTGTTTTTTGAGGCAGAGTCTCACACTGTCCCCCAGGCTGGAGTGCAGTGGTGTGATCTCGGCTCACTGCAACCTCCGCTTCCTGGGTTCAAGTGATTCTCCTGTCTCAGCTTCTTGAGTAGCTGGGATATAGGTGCGCGCTATCATGCCCGGCTAATTTTTTTTTTTTTTTTTTTTTTTTGTATTTTTAGTAGAGATGAGGTTTCACTGTGTTAGCCAGGATGGTCTCGATTTCCTAACCTCGTGATCTGCCTGCCTTGGCCTCCCAAAGTGCTGGGATTACAGGCATGAGCCACCACACCCAGCCTGCTGAAAGTTTTTATCATGAATGATTGTTAGATATTGTCAAATTCTTTTTATGCATCTATTGATAAGATTACATGATTTTTCTTCTTTAACCCATTGGTATAATGGACTGATCTTTGACTGTTGAACTAGGCTTGCATTCCGGAGTACATCCCACTTTGTTATGGTATATAATACTTTCCTTGTTTCTTTTTTAAACTATTGTATTTATTGTTTTTAACACTTTTTCACAACTTCAATGACAATCAAATAAGCCACCTCCTGTGTTGTGTTTCTCTGTGCTGCTTGAAGCTGCCTGTGCTTACTTTTGGTTCTACATAGCTTCTCCCCTTAGAATGATATACATAGTACAGCATTCAACATATGCTAACTCTTAGTGTTGTTATTATCTGAAGACCCTCAAGGACTGCTCATGGTGCTGATGTGGTTGGAGGGGACATGACTTGAACCATGTCTTGTAACTTTGCATGAATTATTTACACATGCTTGAGACAAGGTTAGTTTTCTGCATCAAAGAATGAGCAGGGAGATGATAAAGAGGTGGCTAGCTCCATCCTGTTCCAGCTATGGTCATTGCTGACGTGCACTTTGCATACACACGCTCATCCAAGTTGCATACTGCACTCAATCAGACTCAGGTGTGAAAGAAAGGTAGGAAAGAGGGACATGGGCCCACTTTCAGCTCTGGTTTATTCAGCTGTTACCACTGCTCTGTATGAGGACTGAAATGAAATCCTCAGCTAATACTGAACTGGAAGGAGCAGCCTGTGTGTGGTGAAGAGATAAAACCTAAAACAATCTTAACAGAAACAAAGCACTTTTCCAAACTAAGAAGAGGGCGATAAATGTAGTTTGACACTTTAGTTTAAAAATACACAAATTTAGGCCGGGCGTGGTGGCTCACACCTGTAATCTCAGCACTTTGGGAGGCCAAGGTGGGAAGATCACAAGGTCAGCAGTTCGAGACCAGCCTGCCTGGCCAATATGGTGAAACTCTGTCTCTACTAAAAATACAAAAATTAGCTGGGCGTGGTGGTGTGCACCTGTGCTCCCAGCTACTCGGGAGGCTGAGGGAGAAGATTTGCTTGAACCCAGGAGGCGGGGCTGCAGTGAGCCGAATCATGCCACTGCACTCCAGCCTGGGTGACAGAGTGAGACTCCGTCTCAAAAAACAAACAAACAAACAAAAAAACACAAATATTAGAATAACGCCTGTGAAACAAAAGTGACCTGAGTTTATGTCCCTGTGGCCTTGACAAAAGCCTGTGGTATAATGAGGTCACCTCATATCTTAGTGAGTTTGAAGGGAGTGAGGTCTCTCCTGCCCCCAGCTTCAGACCACACTGAAGAGCTTGAGTCCAGTTCCAGCCATTGGATATTCAGTAAGATGTCAATAAATCAGAGTTTGTCAAGAGAAGGAGGGTGAAGGGCCTTCTACCCTGACATGCCAGGTCTCAGACAGAGAGGAAGGCATTAGTTGCAGGAGAGAGAAAACTCAGGCATGAGCAGGATGGTCAACTTTAAATTCTACAGCTCCCTCCCATGGAGGAGACATTAGACTCACACTAAGAAGATAGGTCTGTAATTGGTGGATGGGGCTGCAGGAAGCTGTACCACAGACAAAAAGAAGAACTCAGGAATGAGGATTCTCAAAAATGAATGTGTTTTCTCTCAAAGAATGTATGACAGTGTATTCATACAGTGATTCTCTGTTATCTATAGAAGTCTAAATTCCATAAGAAGTTCAGAAGGTCCTTTGTTCCTCACTTCCTGCCTGTAAGCCAGTTTCATCTCCCGGACACACTCTGCCACCCTGTGTGCCCTGAGTCATAGCCCCTCTGCACTAACTATGCTTCTCCCAAAAACAGCATACTCCTTTCACCTTCCTGCCTCTGCCCACGACTTCCTCTTGGTCTGGAATGCCCCCAACAGTTCAGCTCTTAAAGCTCATATACCCTCAGGCCATAGTTGAAAATATGTATATCCTTGTTTATTCTCAACAGTTCCAATAAAAATCCACCTCCCCTTTGAAGTCTTCACGACTGCTATACTTTAACCTCCAAAGCAAAGTTAGATACCCCATGATCTGTGCTCCCATGACACCCATCCACTTCGATTATGGCATGCTCCACATTCTAATTATTTGCTTACTGTCTCCTCTAGTTGACTTTGAGCAGACACCTTGTCTTATTCATGTCTGCATCTGAAGAGTTTTCACACAGGGCTCACACCACAATGGGTGAATGAGCACTCAGAGAGGAATCTGTACCCACGTGAAGGCATGGACCCTTCAGCACTAAGCTTCTGTGATCTCATAACATCTTGCCTTAATATTCTTCCAAGGTTTAGCACCTGATCCTTTTAAACACATTTGTTAATAAACAATAAATAGGCTATGGTTAACTTTTAAATAACTAGTTAATCTTTATTATGAAATAAGAATTTTGGAAGAGGCGAAGTGATCTATATACATGGGACGGAGGAAAGTGAATATCAATGGCCTATGACGCATCATTAAGTTTCTTTTCTATTTCATAGAACTTTCTACTCACATTACTGTCTTATTCAGTGTTCTTTTGTTTGGTGTTGAACCAGCGCAAAATCTCTGAGGTTAAAATGGAATTATTCTAAAGGCTGGAAGCCTGGTAGCTTCAAGAGCTAGAACCAAAGTCTGGAAAGAGCTCCAGGAACATCTCCAGCTACCCTAAGTAAATCTCTCCCAGGCACTCTGATCGCTTTTCACAACTTCTCTCTCCACATCACTTCAGCTTTTCTTTCCACAGATCGACTATGTCTGCTTTTCTAAGCTGCTGGTTAAATATGGAAGCACCAACGATCCCAAACTTAAATATTCTAAGTTGAAATGACCCATAGGGAAAGACCAGTATCTCTCAATCCCAATTCCCACATTTTAAAGAGAAAATGTGGTTGGGTCAGTTGTTCTACCTTTAAATAAATAGGGTCAGGTATGGGACATGATTCCGTAACACAAACATGGCAGGCAGGGCTCACCATTGTGGGGTCAGTCCTCAGATAAATTTTTTTTTTTTTTTTTGAGACGGCATCTCACTCTGTCACCCAGGCTGGAGTGCAGTGGTGCAATCTCAGCCCACTGCAACCTCTGCCTCCTGGATTCAAGCGAGTCTCCTGTCTCAGCCTCCTGAGTAGCTGGGATTACAGATTTGCGCCACCATGCCTGGCTAATTTTTGTATTTTTAGTAGAGAGGGAAGTTCTACCATGTTGGCCAGGCTGGTCTTGAACTCCTGACCTCAGGTGATCCACCCACCTCGGCCACCCAAAGTGCTGGGATTACAGGTGTAAGCCACCGCTCCTGGCCAATAACTTTATTTATTTATTTATTTATTATTTTATTTATTTATGTTTTTGAGATGGAGTCTGGCTCTGTCGCCCAGGCTGGAGTGCAGTGGTGTGATCTCGGCTCACTGAAAGCTCCGCCATTCTCCTGCCTCAGCCTCCTGAGTAGCTGGGACTACAGACGCCCGCCACCACGTCTGGCCAATTTTTGTATTTCTTAAGTAGAGACGGGGTTTCACCGCATTAGCCAGGATGGTCTCGATCTTCTGACCTTGTGATCCGCCCGCCTCGGCCTCCCAAAGTGCTGGGGTTACAGGCGTGAGCCACCGTGCCTGGCCCAGAACTTTATTATAGGTGGGACACACATACCAAAAGAATCTGTGCACCACAATGATCTAATTCAATTTTGCTTTTTGAGAGGGTTTACAGAAAGATTAAACTGACTGATTAACACTGAGCGCTCTTTTCCCCTTAGACCAAATTTTAGTTAGCTATTGTCAACTATAAAGCTCATTATTATTCTTATGAACTTTAGAATCTAAAAAGATAAATCAGTCATTTGCCTGTTTGTTAAGACTTTGTCTGAGCCATCCCTACAAGACAGGTAAAGACAGCACTCAGCACAGGACTGTGGCCTACACTGATCTCTCCTTACTTCCATTATCTGCATTCACATCCATGTCTTAAATTACTGCCTTCTCAAAGTTAACAACTACATTAGTATTTTCTTGTTTACTATCTTTTTGTTTTGTTTTGTTTTTGTTTTTTCTTTTTCGAGAGGGTGTCTCACTCTGTTGCCCAGGCTGGAGTGCAATGGCATGATCTCGGCTCACTGCAACCTCCACTTCCCGGGTTCAAGCGATTCTCCTGCCTCAGCCTCTGGAGTAGCTGGGACTACAGGCGCCTGCCACCACGCCCAGCTAATTTTTATATTTTTAATAGAGACGAGGTTTTACCATGTTGGCCAGGATGGTCTCGATCTCTTGACCTCGTGATCCACCCGCCTCAGCCTTCCAAAGTGCTGGGATTACAGGCGTGAGCCACCGCGCCCGGCCTTTTTTTTTTTTTTTTTTTTTTTGAGACACAGTCTCGCTCTGTCGCCCAGTCTGGAGGGCAGTGGCCTGATCTCGGCTCACTGCAACCTCCACCTCCCGGGTTCACGCCATTCTCCTGCCTCAGCCTCCCAAGTAGCTAGGATTACAGGCGTGAGCCCCCACGCCCGGCGAATTTTTTGTATTTTTAGTAGAGATGGGGTTTCACTGTGTTAGCCAGGATGGTCTTGATCTCCTGACCTCGGAATCCACCCGCCTCGGCCTCCCAAAATGCTGGGATTACAGGCGTTAGCCACTGCGCCCGGCCCACTCTCTGTTCAACTCGGGAATCCCTGTCTTCTTCCTGTCTTGAAAGCTTCAGCCTTCTGAGACTTAAGAATACAATTTCAGGCTGGGCGCGGTGGCTCACGCCTGTAATCCCAGCACTTTGGGAGGCCCAGGCAGGCGGATCACGAGGTCAGGAGATCAAGGCCATCCTGGCTAACACGGTGAAACCCCGTCTCTACAGAAAATACAAAAAATTAGCCGGGCGCCTGTAGTCCCAGCTACTCGGGAGGCTGAGGCGAGAGAATGGCGTGAACCCGGGGGGCGAAGCCTGCAGTGAGCCGAGATTGCGCCGCTGCACTCCAGCCTGGGCGACAGAGCGACACTGTCTCAAAACAAAAAACAAAACAAAACAAAATTCAATTTCAAAACCCAGATAAAAACTAAATCTTTGGAGATTCAGTGCTAAATTCTCAATTTGTGTTCACTAAAAGATGTATACTTGGGCAGTGACTAATTTGATAGTTATTTCCCTTGGACTGATAAGTACATTCCTTTTTTTTTTTTTTTTTTTTTTTGTTAGACAGAGTCTTGCTCTGTCGGCCAGGCTGGAGTGGCATGATCTCGGCTAACTGCAACCTCCATCTCCTGGGTTCAAGCAATTCTCCTGCCTCAGCCTCCTGAGTAGCTGGGATTACAGGCGTGTGCCACCATGCCCGGCTAATTTTTGTAATTTGAGTAGAGACGGGGTTTCACCATGTTGACCAGGCTGGTCTCAAACTCCTGACCTCAGGTGATCTGGCCTCCTCGGCCTCCCAAAGTGCTGGGACTACAGGTGTGAGCCACTGTGCCCCACCCAAGTACATTCATTTTTAAACAATTAAGAAGTTTTGTAATGACTTGTGAAATGAGGTGATGAAATATAATTAAAGTAATCACTATTTTAATGGTAGTTCTCCATGGAATATTTCACAAAATTATTCAGCACCTTGTTAAGTTTTTAAGAACTAATAATGAAATAATATAATAATAAACCAGGAACATAGTGTTATAAATAGATACAAAATACTTTAGAGATTGAAGTTTTGTATTCACAGAGATGGGAGTGAAATAAAGCAGTTGTTCTTATAACTCTTGGCACTGAGACTATGTGACCTGTGATTTTGATATATGAGAGAAAAGCCAGATTTTATATGCAAGATGTTGGACAATAGATTTAGAGAGAAAATGTATCAGAATACACACTGAGGCAATAATTGCCTGTTTACAGATGAAACAGGAAAGACAAGATATAGAACTTCAAAATAAACATAAATGGTAATACTTAGCAGCATATTGAGCCAATTTATTTGGAGAAAATAATGAAAACACGCAGGACAACACTGATGCTATAGACAAAAATTTATATTTTTTCCACTCAGGAGACTGTTTTTAGTAGTTTACTACTAGACAAGATGGTATGTTGAATAAAGCTAATGTACTTACTCTGTTTTGTTTCTCCTTTTTTTTAAGTTCTGGAATAATTTTCAGGAGAAAGAAAATCATAAGAGTTTGTTTAAAATTTCTTTTTCTTGAAACAGATTTATATTATTGAAAAATTAAATAACAGGTCACTACATAAATATCCCTGAAATTTTTTTTTTTTCTTTTTTTGAGACGGAGTCACGTTCTGTTGCCAGGCTGGAGAGCGGTGGCGCCACCTTGGCTCACTGCAACCGCCGCCTCCTGGGTTCAAGCAATTCTCCTGCTTCAGCCTCCTGAGTAGCTGGGACTACAGGCTCGCACCACCACACCCAGCTAATTTTTTGTGTTTTTAGTAGAGACAGCATTTCATCATGTTGCCCAGGATAGTCTTGATCTCTTGACCTCGTAATCTTCCCGTCTCAACCTCCCAAAGTGCTGGGATTACAGGCATGAGCCACAGCGCCAAGCCAAAAATGTCGGTGAATTTTCAGAGACTAGATCCATTCAGTGAACACAGCCAGGGCTCTGTTGGATGCAAATGACAAAGACACAACTCAAACGTACTTTAACTCACGTTACAAAATGCTAAAGGACAGACCTTAGGGCATAAGCAGCATCTCTAGAATTTAGTCTTAACCTCTTCCATCTCTACCTTTCTCTGTGTTGGTTCCATTTTATTTGTTTCCTGCAATGACTCATATCTTGTGATTGAAAAACAAGGGGCCGGGCGCGGTGGCTCACGCCTGTAATCCCAGCACTTTGGGAGGCCAAGGCGGGTGGATCACGAGGTCAGGAGATCGAGACCAACCTGGCTAACACGGTGAAACCCCGTCTCTACGAAAAATACAAAAAAAATTAGCCGGGCATGGTGGCAGGCACCTGTAGTCCCAACTACTTGGGAGGCTGAGGCAGGAGAATAGCGTGAACCTGGGAGGCGGAGCTTGCATTGAGCCAAGATCGCACCATTGCACGCCAGCCTGGGCAACAGAGACAGACTCCATCTCAAAAAAAAAAAAAAAAAGAAGAAGAAGAAGCCTGGTGGATATTCATTTCTGCAAGAATACTCAGGGAGTTCTATCATCAGGGACCTTTTCTAGACATGGTTTGCCTCTCCAGGCCTTGAGAACCATATCTTTCTCCCCAAAACACTTTTGTTTCTGAGCATCCTCAGAGCCCATTTTTTCTGACCCAAATTGCTGCTCAGTAAAGGGACACAGATATTTAAGGGACACAGATATTTAAGGGACCTGAGGGGATGGTCCAAAAAGAGTAATTTTCTAGAGTGTCCATATATTTTTAAGTAATTGTAGAGGCATCAATCAGGATATCACTCTTCCTCCATTCACCCACCAAGAGATTGGGAATTGCCTTGTTCAATGTCGAAAGGCTGTCCTGGCTCACTCTTTCAGCACTCTGCAAAAGATGAGTGTTATCGCAATGGCATTGTGCCCACACACACCCAGGGAAAACCGCAGCTTTTGAAAAATGTTATAAACAAAATAACTGCATTGAATTCCACCAGATAAATTACAGATCATTTCTTTGAAAGTTAACGCCGTGAGAACAATGTGTTTGATTTTCTGTTTTCTCAAAGTAAAAGTTTAGACAAGTATATTCTAGTAATATCATTTTATTTTTCATTTGAGACAGGGTCTCACTCTGTCATTCAGTCTGGAGTACAGTGGTGTGATCGCAGCTCACTGCAGCCTCAACCTCCCAGGCTCAGGTGACCCTTCCACCTCAGCCTCCCATGTAACTGAGACTACAGGCATGTGCCACCACACCCATCTGATAGTATCTATACAGATCAGAGTTTACTTCTATATGGTAATGGAACAACTTTGACATGACAGAACATTCATAAGCAATTTTGGCATGTAAGTAACTGTTCTGATATTCGAAGCTCTCAATTGTATGATAAGCAATCCAACTCAACTAGTTAAACAAAAACCTCTACTATATAAACATTAGAGAATCTTACCACATTTTGAGTATTTTAGTAGCTGAGTAAAAGAGACAAAATATATGAACATTTAAAATGCCCTTTAATGTCAGTTAATTTTTTTCTATGATTATAATAGTAAGAGCTGTGCGTGTGTTCTTTGGTTTAAATAGCACTACATTCTTCTTTGATATAATTTTTATATCCTTCCTCCCTCTCTCTCTCTCTCTGTGTGTGTGTATATATACACACACACACAATATGTACATAGAATATATATACTGACACATACATACATTCATATATAAAATTTGAAATTAAAAGATTAAGTATGGCTGGGCATGGTGGCTCATGCCTGTAATCCCAGCACTTTGAGAGGCCAAGGCAGGTGTATTATGAGGTCAAGAGTTCAAGACCAGCTTGGCCAAGATGGCGAAACCCCATCTTTACTAAAAATACAAAAACTAGTTACGACTGGTGGCAGGCACCTGTAATCCCAGCTACTCGGGAGGCTGAGGCAGAGAATTGCGTGAACCCAGGAGGCAGAGATTGCAGTGAGCTGAGATTGCACCACTACACTCCAGCCTGGGTGGAGCAAGACTCTGTCTCAAAAAAATAAAAAATAAAATAAAGCAAGAAAATATTAAGCATGAACATAAAAAAGAACAAGAGCTGGTATAATTAGAATTAGTGTTTTGAAACTTTTCTCTTAAGTACTTTTGGTCATATTAATCAGTTGCTCTAAAATTTCAACATGGACATTTTGAAGGTGCACAGTTGCACACATCCCAATTGCAGAGTTCCAGTTTGGTTCAGATCAAGTAAACACATTCTGCCTTATCTACTGATTACACTGATAATCATGGTCAAAATGCATAATGTTACTAACAGAAGACTCTGAACGTTGGATAAGAGTAGTAAACATTCACCCCTAGACATTGCCATGGGGTTGAAGCCCTGCAGCCTGTCTGTATGCTCCCCTAGAGGTTTGACCAGCGGGGCACTGAAGCACTGAAGAAGCAAGCCACACCTCCATCACATGCCCTGCAAAAGGGACAAGGGAACCTTTCCCATTTCAATAGCTACACATGTACCCCTGAACTTGGTATGGAGCTCAGGACCTGAAGGATGACCTAGCGGTGATTTGCCTAACTTGATTTCCTCCTTCCTTCCCTTCCTCTTTCCTTCCCTCCCTCTCATCATCCTTCCTCTTTCCCTTCTTCCTCCCTCCCTCTCTCTCTCCTTCTTATTTCTCCTCTCTTATTCCTCCTCTTCCACCCCTCCTTCTCCTTCTTCTCAGTCTTCTTCTTTCTTCTTATGTATTCAAGCTTGAGCTCTAAAACAGACTGAAACTAGAACTGCACACAGGCAGACTGAAGGAGATAGAGACATGAAGAAACATTCAAAATATCAACAAATCCAGGAGATGATTTTCTGAAAAAATTAAAATAGACCACTAGCTAGACTAACAAAAAAGAAAAGAAAGAAGATTCAAATAAACAATCAGAAACAACAAGGGCAATATTACCACTGACCCCACAGAAATACAAATAACTATCAGAGAATATTATGAACACCTCTATGCATATAAACTAGAAAATCTAGTAGAAATGGATAAATGCCTGGACACATACACCCTCCCAAGACTGAACCAGGAAGAAATTGAGTCCCCGAACAGACCAAAAATAAGCTCCAAACTTGAATCAGTAATAAGTAGCCTGTCAACCAAAAAAGGCCCAGGACCAGACAGATGCACAGCTGAATCCTACCAGATGTACAAAGAAGAGCTGGTATTACTCATACCAAAACTATTCAAAAAAATTGAGGAGGAGGGATTCCTCCCAAACTCCTTCTATGAGGCCAGCATCATCCAGATACCAAAACCTGGCAGATATACAACAACAACAACAACAAAAAACTTCAGGCCAATATTCTTGATGAATGTTGATGCAAAAATCCTCAACAAAATACTGGCAAACCGAATTGAGCAGCAGATCAAAAGGCGTATCCACCACGGTCAAGTAGACTTCATCCCCGGGATACAAGGTTGGTTCAACCTACACAAACCAATAAATGTTATTCATCACATAAACAGAACTAAAGGCCAAAACCATATGATTATCTCAAAAGATACAGAAAAGGCTTTCAATAAAATTCAACATTCATTCATGTTAAAAACTCTCAATAAACTAGGTATTGAAGAAACATACCTCAAAAGAATAAGCACCATATATGATAAGCCCACAGCTAATATCATACTTAATGGGCAAAAGCTGGAAGCATTCCCCTTGGAAACTGGCACAAGACAAGGTTGCCCTCTCTCACTACTCCTATTAAATATAGTATTGGAAGTTCTGGCCAGGGCAATCAGGCAAGATAAAGAAATAAAGAACTTTCAGATAGTAAGAGAAGAAGTCAATTATCCCTGTTTGCAGATGACATGATCATATTTTTAGAAAACCCCATAGTCTCAACCCAAAAGCTTATTAAGCTGATAAGCAACTTCAGGAAAATCTCGGGATACAAAATCAATGTGCAAAAATTACTAGCATTCCTATACACCAACAAAAGTCAAGCCAAGAGCCAAATCAGGAACAAACTCCCATTCACAACTGCAACAAAAAGAATAAAATACCTAAGAATGCAGCTAACAAGGGAGGTGAAAGGTCTCTACAAGGAGAACTACAAACCACTGCTCAAATAAATCAGAGAAGGCACAAACAAATGGAAAAACATTCTATGCCCATGGATAAGAAGAATCAATATTGTTGGCCAGGCACAGTGGCTCACACCTATAATCCTAGCACTTTGGGAGGCTGAGGTGGGCAGATCATGAGGTCAAGAGATTGAGACCATCCTGGCCAACATGGTGAAACCCCGTCTCTACTAAAAATACAAAAACTAGCTGGGCATGGTGTTGTGCACCTGTAGTCCCAGCTACTCGGGAGGCTGAGGCAGGAGAATCGCTTGAATCTGGGAGGCGGAGGTTGCAGTGAGTCAAGATTGTGCCACTGCACTCCAACCTGGCGACAGAGCCAGACTCCATCTCAAAAGAGAGAGAGAGAAAAAAAGAGTCAATATTGTTAAAATGGCCATACTGCCCAATGCAATTTACAGATTCAATGCTATGCCTGTTAAACTATCACTGACATTCTTCACAGAACTATAAAAAAACTCTTTTAACATTCATATGGAACCAAATAAGAGCACGAATAGCCAAGGCAATCTTAAGCAAAAACAACAAAGCTGGAGGCATCACGCTACCCGACTTTGAGCTATACTACAGGGCTACAGTAACCAAAACAACATAGTACTGGTACAAATTTATTTGTACAAATTTATTATTGGTACAGACACATAAACCAATGGAACAGAATAGAGAACCCACAAGTAAGACCACACACCTACAACTATCTGATCTTCAACAAACCTGACAAAAGCAGGCAATGGGGAAAATATTCCCTATTCAATAAATGGTGCTAGGATAACTGGCTAGCCATACACAGAAGATTGAAATTGAACTTCTTCCTTACACCATATAAAAAAATTAGCTCAAGATGGATTAAAGACTTAAATGTAAAACCCAAAACTATAGAAATCCTGGAAGACAACCTAGGCAATACCATTCAGAACAGTCACAGGCAAAGATTTCATGATAAAGACACAAAAAGCAATTGTAACAGAAACAAACATTGACAAATGGGATCTAATTAAACTAAAGACCTTCTGCACAGCAAAAGAAACTATCAACAGAGTCAACAGACAACCTACAGAATGCAAGAAAATATTTGCAAACTATGCATCTGACAAAGGTCCAATACCCAGCATCTATAAGGAACTTAAACTAATTTACAAGAAAAAACCAACCCCATTAAAGTGAGAAAAGGACGTGAACAGATACTTTTCAAAGGAAGACATACATGCGGCCAACAATCATATGAAAAAAAGCTCAATATCAGTGATCATTAGAGAAATGTAAATCAAAACCACAGTGAGATACCATCTCACACCAGTCAGAATGGTGATTTTTTAAAATAATAAAACATTATAAACTATACCTAACATTTATAGAACACTCCACCCAACAGCAGCAGAATACATGTTTTTCTAAGAGAAAATGATATCCTGAAACATTGTTCAGCAGAACTGTTACAATTTCTTTTTAAAAACCTGAAATTTCTTCTTTTAATTGGTAATTTTTTTTTAACTTTTATTTTAAGTTCAGGGTTACATGTGAAGGTTTGTTACACAGGTAAACCTGTGACATGGGGGGTTATTGTACAGATTATTTCATCTCCCAAGTATTAAGCCTAGTACTCATTAGGTATCTTTCCTGACCTTCTCCCTCCTCCCACCCTCCACCCTTTGAGATACCACAGTGTGTGTTGCTACCCTCTATGTGTCCATGTGTTCTCATCAGAATGGCTATTATTAAAAAGCAAAAAGCAAAAAAAAAACAGATGTTGGCGAAGTTGTGGAGAAAAAGGAACAATTATACAATGTTGGTGGGAGTGTAAATTAGTTCTACTATTTTGGAAGACAGTGTGATGATTCCTCAAAGACCTAAAGACAGAAATGTCATTCAGCCCAGCAATCCCATTACTGGGCATATACCCAAAAGAACATAAATCATTTTATTATAAAGCCACATACACACATATGTTCACTGCAGCACTATTCATAACAGCAAGGACATGGAATCACCCTAAATGCCCAACAATGATAGACTGGATAAAGAAAATGTAGTACATATACACCATGGAAAACTATGCAGCTATAAAAAAGAATAAGATCATGTCCTTTGCGCAAACATTAATGGAGCTGGAGGCCATTATCCTTAGCAAACTAATACAGGAACAGAAAACCAAATACAGCATGTTCTCACTTATAGTGGGAGCTAAACGATGAGAGCATACGGACACACAGAGGGAAACATTAGGGTGGAGGATAGGAGGAGAGAGAAGAACGGGAAAAATAACAAATGGGCATTAGGCTTAATACCTGGATGATGAAACAATCTGTACAACAAACCTCCATGACACAAGTTTACCTGTGTACCAAACTGATATGGAAGTGCTGGGAAGGGAAGAGCGTGGTCCCTTTAAATGATAGGGAAGGGGAGAAGGGAAGTGTTGGGTAGAGGAGGACGTGGTCCCTGGCTAGGGCTCCACCCCCACGGACCTAGGTAAGGACAGGCACTTCTGCTTTCATGCCGAAATGTAGCATTTTCCAAGACCACCCTGGCCTGCCGTGCCCCCATCATGGGCCTATAAAAACCAGAGACCTTAGCAAGGCAGGGACGCAAGCAGCTGGACATCATAAGGAACACATCAGCAGAAGAAGACACAAGCAGCTGGTCATCGAAAGCACACTGGCGGAAGAGCAGGCCAACAGACACCTGCAGGCCATCAGGCCATCGATGGAGTCTCGCTCTGTCTCCCAGGCTGGAGTGCAGTGGCGCGATCTCCGCTCACTGCAAGCTCCGCCTCCCGGGTTGACGCCATTCTCCTGCCTCAGCTTCCCGAGTACTGGGACTACAGGCGCCTGCCACCACGCCCAGGTAATTTTTTGTATTTTTAGTGGAGACGGGGTTTCACCATGTTAGCCAGGATGGTCTTGATCTCCTGACCTCGTGATCTGCCCACCTCGGCCTCCCAAAGTGCTGGGATTACAGGCGTGAGCCAGCGCGTCCAGCCAGGACTTCTTTATTAAGTGGTTTTTCATTAAAGGCAGTGATGTTAAATGTGCTCTTGCAAAGGGGGTTTCTTCTAAGGTTGCTGTTACTAAGGAACTGTTGCTATGGGCACCATTGCTAAGAAATGTTGCTAAAGACAATGTTTCTAAGGATATTGCTAAGAGTTTTGTTGCCAAGGGTGTTGTTGCTAAGAAGATTGTCGCCAAGGGAATTGTATTAGGTTGGTACAAAGGTGATTGCGGTTTTTGCCACTGAAATGGCAAAAATCGCAATCACCTTTGCATCAACCTAATAATTAAGGACATTGTTGCTGCATATAGTGTTGCAATGGATTTTGCTCCTAGGGCCTCTTAGATAAGGGTGTTGTTGCTAAGAAATGTTCCCCACACATACTGCCACCAAGGACATAGTTGTTACTGCCACTGTAGCTAAATGCATGGCTGATATAGCCATTATTGCTCTGGTCACAATTACAGTAGCCACTCTTGCAGAAGGAGCAATTCCTATGACCACCGTTGCTAAAGACATTGTTATTAAGTATGTTGCTATTAATGGAACTTTTTCAAAGAGTGCGGTTGCTAAGCACATTTTGTCAAGTTTTTGCTAATGATATTGTTGGGAGGGCCCTTATGCTAAAGACATCGCTCTTAAAGGTGTTAGTATTAAGGGTGGTGTTGCAAGAAAGTTTTTGCTAAGGATGCATTTGCTAAATCAAGGTTGGATGGTCACTACTGCCACGAAAACTGTTGCTAAAGGCAACATTGCTAGGGGCAAAGGTGCTAAGGAAATTTTTGCTATGAAATGTGTTGATAAGATTGTTGATAGGCAGTTTTTAGAAAGGCACTTTCTTTGTTAGTATTAGTGTGTTTTGTGTTTTCTTAGTATGTTTGTTAGTGTGTTTTGGCGTGCTTTGCTAAGAAATCTGCACTAAGTTGCTTTTGCTGAGGGTGTGGCTGCTATGGCCACTGTTGGCAAAGTCATTGTTGAGAAGGCATTATTTCTAAGTTTATTATTGCTAAGGAAATTGTTGCCTTTTTGTTAAGAGAATTGTATTAGTTTCCTAGGGCTGCCATATCAAAGTACCACAAACGAGGTGGCTTAAAACAAAAGAAATTTCTCTTACAGTTCTGGAGCTTAGAAGTCCAAATCAGGTGGTGGTAGGGTTGCTTCCTTCTGAGCACTCTGAATCTTTTCCATGCGTTTTTCCTTGCTTCTGATGGTTCCTGGAAATCTTTCACATTTCTTGGCATCACTCCAGTCTCTGCCTTTGTATTCACATGCCCTTACAAAACTTACTCTCTGTTGCTAGGAGCGTGTTTGCTAAGGAAATGCTTGCTAAAGGTATTTTTAAGGGCATTTCTCTTAAAGGCATTAATGTTCAAGATATTGTCACAGATAAGTTTTGGTACCAATGCAATTACCAAGAGTGTTGATGTTATGGCCCTGTTGCAAAGGAAACTTGTTGTTAAGGGTGTTGCAAGACTCTTGTGTTAATATCGTTGTAAAGAAAGTTGTTGTTAAGGATGCTGTTCCTAAGTGCATTTGTTTCTATGTTGCAAAATGAGATATGTTAAAAGCATTGTTGCAAAAGATGTTCTTGCTGGGAGCATTGCTGCTGATGGAAAGTTTGCAAAGGTAATTGTTGATGGAAGCAATTTTGAAGGTCCTCTTTTTTTTTTTTTTTTTTTTTTAAAAAAAAAACAGGCAGAGTCTAGCCCTGTCGCCCAAGCTGGAGTGCAGTGTTATGATCATGGTTCACTAACCTCAAACTCTTGGGCTCCAGCAATTTTCTCACCTCAGCCTCCCAAGTAGCTAGGACTACGAGCACAGGTCACCATACCTGACTTTTTTAAAAAATTTTTTGTAGAGACAGCATCTCACTATATTGCCCAGACTGACCTCAAACTGCCGGCCTCAAGCAAACTTCCTGCCTCAACCTTTCAAAGTGCTGGGATTACAGACATTAGTCACCATATCTGGTCAAGATTGTCATTCTTAAAGGCATTGATATTAAAAGGGTTATTGAAGATTAAGGTTTTGCTATGAGTGCTGTTAGTAACTGTACTGTTGCTAAGAAAGCTGTTGTTAAGGGCATTTTTGATAAGGGTACTATTGGTAAGGTTATTGTTCTTAAGGGTATTGCTATGGTTTGGATGTTTGTCCCCTCTAAACCTCATGTTGAAATTTGATCCCCAATGTTGGAGATGGGGCCTAATGGGAAGTGTTTGGGTCATATGACCAAATCCCTTATTAACAGATTAATCTCCTTCCTTGAGGCTGAGTGTGTCGTCTATCAGTTCCTGCCAGAGCTGGTTGTTAAAAAGAGCCTGAGACCTTTCTGCTCTCTTTCTCTCTCTCTCTCATCATGTGAGCTCTGCACACACCAGCTCCACTTCATCTTCTGCCATGAGTGGAAGCAGCCTGAGGCCCTCACCTGACACAGATGTCCAATCTTGAACTTCCCAGCCATCAGAATTGAGAACCAACTAAATAGTTTTTCTGTATAAATTACCCATCCTCAGGTATTTATTTCGAGCAACACAAAATGGTATAAGGCAGGTGTTGATGTCAAAAAAGTTTTGTAAGGGCATTGTTCTTTAAGGCCTTGAAGTTATTGTGCAAAGAAAGTTTTGCTAAGGGTGTTATTGCTATGACTAGTGTTTCTAAGGAAACTGTTGCTAAAAGCACTTTTTTTCTCAGAGCATTATTCCTAAGGACTTAATTGCTAAGAGAATGGTAGTAATAATATTTTTGCCAAGGTTGTTGTGGCTAAGGAAGTCATTGCTGAGGGTCTTTTGTTAAACATGCTGTTCTTAAAGGCATTTTTGTTTTGTTTTGTTTTGTTTTGTTTTGAGACAGGGTCTCACTCTGTCACCCAAGCTGGAGTGCAGTTGCGTGATCACAGCTCACTGCAGGCTTGAACTGCTGTGCTCAAAGTGATCCTCCTGCCTCAGTCTCCAAAGCAACTGGGACAACAAGCACACACCACCATGCCTAGTGTATTAGACTGTTCTCATGTTGCTAATACAGACATACCCAAGACTGGGTAATTTTTAAAGTAAAGACATTTAATTGACTCACAGTCCCCATGGCTGGAGAGGCCTCACAATCATGGCGGAAGGCAAAAGAGGAGCAAAGTCACATCTTACATGGCAGCAGGCAAGAGAGCTTGTGCAGGGAAACTCCCCTTTATAAAACCATCAAATTTCATGAGACTTATTCACTATTATGAGAACAACAAGGGAAAGACCCACCCCCATGATTCAATTACCTTCCATTGGGTCCCTCCCATAACACGTGGGAATTATGGGAGCTACAATGCAAGATGAGATTTGGATGGGGATACAGCCAAACCATATCATGTAGCTAGCTTTTTAATTTTTTTAATTTTTCTTTTTGTAGAGATGAGATCTCACTACATTGCCCAACCTGGTCTTGAACCCTTGGTCTAAAGCAATCCTCCCGATCCCACCTCTCAAAGTGCTGGAATTATAGGCATGAGCCACTGTGCCCAGCCAAAGGCATTGATGTTAATGTTGTTGTTGGATGTTTTTGCTAAAGGTGCTGTTACTAAGAACATTGTGGCCATGGCCACTATTGCAGAGGCTACTGTTGCTAAGATCATTGGTGCTAAAGGTGCTGTTCCTAAGGAAAGAGTGTTGAATTTAAAGAAATTGTTGTTATGGGCTATTTTCTTAGAGTCATTGTTCTTAAAGGCCTTGATAGTAAGAGTGTTGAAAATAAAACAGATTTTGCTACGAGTGATGTTGATAAGGGAGCTGCTGCTATGAGTACTGTTTCCAAATGTGATGTTGCTAAGAGCCAATTGCTAAGGGTACTCTAGCTAAATACATTGTTAATAAGGACATTGCTGCAAATAGTGCTGCTCACAGAGTTGTTGTTAATGGTGCTGTTTCTAAGGACACTGTTGATACTGCACCAATGCTAAGGGCCTGGTTGTTCATGGCATTTTTATTAAAGGCAGTTATAATAATGAGGTTGTTTTTAAGGTGTTGATGCCAAGAGTATTGTTTCTAAAGATATTTTTGCTAAGCATGCTCTTGCTGATGGCCTTGTTTTATAGCCACTGTTTCTATGGGAAATGATACTAAAGGTGTTATTGCTTAGGGCATTGTTGCTATGGTTGGTAGCCAAGAAAGGTTTTGCTAAATTGGCTTTTTTCCAAGGGTGCTGTGCAAAGGTTGTTAAGTACTGTGGTAAGGAAAATATTATTATGAATATTATTGTTAAGGCCATTGCCTATAAGAGTTGCTAAAGGACATTGTGAGTCCTTTATCCTATATAAATATAAAGGATATTTATATTAAGCACATTGTCACTGAGGAACTTGCTGCTAGGTGTTTTGTTGATGTGGCCTATTGTTGCTAAGGATATTGTCACTCTGACAATGATATTAGGGGCATTGTAGCTAAGGACATTGACATTAAGGCTCTGTTACTAAGACTCATTTTTGCTAAGGGTATTTTTGCTAAGGATGTTGTTATTAAGTACATTTTTGCTAGAGCATTCTTGTTCAGTGTGTTGTTGCTAAAGGGCTAGTTGCTAGAAGCACTTTTCCTAGAATAATTGTTGCAAAGAGCATTCATGCTAAAATGTTGATCCTAAGACCACTGTTTCTAAGAAACTCATTTGAAGGGCACTGTCACTGTGAGTGTCGTTGCTAAGGTTGTTGTTGTAAAGTCCTTTATGGCTAAGGGCATTGTTACTATGTTCATTATTGTTAAGTGTATTACAGTAAAGAGGCATTGCTACTAAATACACTGCTGTTAATGACTCTATTGCTCAGGGACTTAATCCTAAGGGTATTGTTGCAAAGAGAGTTAAGGATGTTGATGTTAAGGTATTGTTTGAAAGTGTGCTGTTGGCCGGGCACGCTGGCTCATGCCTGTAATCCCAGCACTCTGGAAGGCCGAGGCCGGTGGATCACTTGAGGTCAGGAGTTTGAGACCAGCCTGACCAGCCAACATGGTGAAACCCCATCTCTACTAAAATTACAAAATCAGCTGGGCGTAGTGGTGCACACCTGTAATCCCGGCTTCTTGGGAGGCTGAGGCAGGAGAATGGCTTAAACCTGGGAGGCGGAGGTTACAGTGAGCCGAGATCACGCCATTGCACTCCAGCCTGGGCAACAAGAAGGAAACTCTGTCAAAAAGAATAAAGTGTGCCGTTATTAGAATCATTTTGGCTAAGGGGTATTGGTTTGAATGGTGGTATTGCTAAGGGGACTGATGCCAAAGGCACTCTTAGTAAGTGCAACTGTCGCTGAGGTTGATGTTCCAAAAGGCATTGATGTTAAGGACATTGTTGCTAAGCCTGTTTTTTAAAGTGTGCTGCTGTTATGGGTATTGTTGTTAAGGGTGTTGTAAGAGAAATCATTGCTGAGTACCACTGCTGCTGAGAGCATTGCCACTAAGATCTAATATTGCCAAGGACAGTGCTGCTAAGGCCGTTTAACTTAAATGCATTTTAGTAAAGGCATTGTTCCCAAGACTATTGTTAGGGGCTGTTACGAAGGAACTGTGTTAAAGATATTATTGTTATAGTCGTTAAATCTAAGAGTTTTGATGTTAAGGGCCCTGATGCTAGAAATACGTTTAGATAATTTTTACTACAACTCATTATGGCTAAGAATGTTGATGTTAGGTACATTATTGCAAGGCACTTTTGTAAAGTGTCTTGTTGCTAAAGTGATTATTGCTAAAGGCACTGTTGCTAAGGGGACTGTTTCTTAGTGAATCCATAAGAGCTTTGTTGCTAAGGGCCATTTTTGCTAAGAACATTGTTTCTAAGGGTGTTGAAGTTAAACACGTTATTACTGAAAGCACTGTGGTAAAGGCATCTTACCTAAGGGTTTACTGCTAATAGCACTGTTACTCAAGGAACTGAGGCTAAGGGCATTGTTGCTGACGGGGTTGTTATTAAGGGCATTTGTTATGAAAGGTCATTGTGTCTAAGTACAATTGTTTCTAAGGACATTGTTTGAAGGGCATTATTTCAAGGGTCATTGTTGCTAAGAGCATTAATGTCACCGACAGTGTTGTTCCTAAGGGAATGTTAGTAAGAGCATTGTTTCTAAGAGTATTGTTACAAAAGGACTCTTGCTAAGGACATTGTTGCAAATACATTTTGGTAAAGGCATTGTTCCTAAAGGGATTCTGGCTAAGGACACTGTTACAAGGGGCATCTTTTATAAGGGCATTGTTGCTAAAGTTGATTTTACCAAAGGCCATTTTAGCTAAAGGCACTGTTGCTAAGTACACTGTTGTCAAGGATGTTGTTGCTAAGGGTGCTGTTGTTAAGAGCATTATGTTCTAAAGGATCCGTTGCTAAGGGAATTGATGATAATTGCGTTGTTTCTTTTTTCTTTTCTTTTCTTTTCTTTTTTTTTTTTTTTTTTAGATGGATTCTCCCTCTGTTGCCCAGGCTGGAGTGTGGTGGCATGATCTCAGCTCACTGCAACCTCTGCCTCCCGGGTTCAAGTGATTCTCCTGCCTCAGCCTCCCGAGTAGCTGGGATTACAGGCGTGCACCACCATGCTCAGCTAATTCTTGTATTTTTGGTAGAGATGGGGTTTCATCATGTTGGCCAGGCTGGTCTCAAACTCCTGACATCAAGTGATCCACCCACCTCAGCCTCCCAATGTGCTTGGGATTACAGGCATGAGCCACGTTGCCCGGCCTGTAGTTGCATTGTTTCTAAGGGCCTTTGTTAAGGCACTATGCTAATGTTTTTGCTAAAAGTCATTGTTACAAAAGCTGTGGTTACTAATGATGTTGCTGCCATGGAACACGTGCCTAAGGGCGATATTTCAATTGGCATCGATAGTAAGGTCACTGTTGCTAAGGAAGTTATTTCTAAGTGCATTGTTCCTGGAGCCATTGTAGTTATGGGTGATGTTCATAAGAGAACTGTTGAAGGTCATTGTGGCTAAAGGCATTATTACTATTGCTAGTGTTTCTCATGATGCTGTTTCTACCAGCACTGATCCTAAATCTCGTGTTGCTAAGAGTATTGTTACTGAGGGTATTACTGCTAAGTATGTTGTTGCTTAGGGTACTATTGCTTAGAATGTTTTTGTATATTATTGTTAAGGACACTGTTTCTAAGATCATTGTTCCTAGGGTGTTAATGTTGGCAAGGGACATTTTTGCTGAAGGCATTGTGACTAAAGGCATTGTTGTTACAGGTATTTTCTTCAAAGGGCATTGTTGGGAAGGGGACATTTCTAGAGTCACTCTTGCTAAAGACTGTTGCTAAGACCATTTTACTAAGGTCAATGCTAACAGCATTATTACCAAGGCTTTATTTTTATGGCTCACTGTTGGTTGCTAAAGTCATTGCTTCTAAGGGCCAAGAGGGCTGTTGTCAAGAATGCTGGTCTTAGGGGATTTTTGCTAATAGTAATATTGTTAGGACATTGTTGCAAAGAGTGTGGTTGCTAAGGGCCATTGTTTATAAGGTAAACAATGGTAAACTCTTGGTAAGGCAAGTTTGGATAAGAGCACTGTTGCTAAGGGCACTGGTTATAGGGGTGATGCGCATGATTTTTTTACTAAGGACATTATTAAGAATGTCATTTCTAAGGTCAGTTGTTTACCCCTTTCTTGCTAATGGTACTGATGTTAAGAGTGTTGATTCTATGAGTATTACCATTCAGAGCATTTCTCCAGGAGCCATTGTTGCTAAGTTCATTGATATTATGTATTTTGTAGCTAGGGCATTGCTGTAAAGTGTGCTGTTACCAACAACACTGTTGCTGATGTCATTATTGCTAAGGAGTTGATACTAAAAGCATTTTTACTAAGGTGCCATTGGTAAGAGTGCTGTTGTTAATGCCACTATAAAGGACATTTTTGTAAGGGCATTGTTGCTAATTGCTTTATTTCTAATTTTGTTATTGCTAAGGGCCATGGTTTTTGAAGGTATTATTTCTAAGGGTATTTTTGCTAAGATACACTAACAGGCCATGGTTTGCCCATTTCCAAAGTACCATGGCAATTTATAGAGGTAAATGGACATACCATTGTTCCTAAGGGCATTGTTGCTATGGACATTGATTTTAAAGACATTGTTGCCAACGGCATTGTTGCAATTGGCATAATTCCCACTATTTCTACAGGCAATTATGCTAAGGCTGTTGTTGCTTAGAGATTTGTCAGTAAGGTGCACCATTGCTAATGATGTTGCTGCTAAGGACATTGTTGTTAGGGGCCATTGTTGTTATGTTATGAGTGTTGTCTCTAGGGTCATTGTTCCTAAGGGCCATTTTTGTTAAGGGTCTTGATGCTAAAGGCCATTTTTTTAAAGGACATTTTGGTAAAGGTATTCATTTCAAGCTATTTGTTGCTAAGGTCATTGTTGTTTGGGGTGGTTGTTAAGGTCCATGATTGCTAATGTAAGATATTGCTTCTAGGAGTGTTAATGTCAGTCAAAGGTGTTGCTAAGAGCAACTGTGGCAAATAGTGTTATAGCTGAGGGCATTTTTCTAATGTTACTGTTGCTTAGATTATGTTGCCAAGAGTCTTTTGGCTAAAAGGGTTAATATTAACAATGTTGTCTTAAAGCATTATTCCTGATGGTGTCTATGCTAAGGGTATTGTTGCTATGGGATTTGTTGCTAAGGGCCATTATTAACAAGTCATTGTTGTGATAGGCATATTTTTAAAGGTGTTGGTGCTAAGGGCAATTGTTCTTAAGGATGTTTTTGCCAAGGGCATTAGTGGTAAAAAATTGTTGCGAAAGCCATTTTTTTCTAAGTGGGTTGGTCCTAATGTATCCCACACCATGAAATCACTACCTCACTACTCTTCACCTCTCCCACTCCATACACCATATTTCCTTGTATCAGACACCTGCTGACATCACCAGTATAGGATCTTATTAGAACAAATGAGGCAAGTAGAGCAAAGTGGGCATCTCTCAGGGAACAAGAGTGTCCAGTGCAAAGTATCAGCCCATTCCAACCTTAGGACAGGTGCCAGGCTGATTAGGGGCCTCAGGTTTGAGCTAGTGACCCTGACCCTTTAAGCTCTGAGAACTTAAAGCTGGCTGAGCTCCAACCCTAAATGTTTTGTCCTATGAGTCATTATCTGTGAGCTATTTTTAAAAATATTTTGGACTTCATCTATGTTTTTCCCCTAATGTGTTTGAATTTTGTGGGGACTCTAGTGGAAACAGAGGAAGTCATTGATTGTTCTTAAATCTTAAATGCATCTTTCCAACCTGTCAATGCACATAACTTAATCAGGTCTATGTTCATGCATAAGATAGTTCCATACATGAAGCATCTCACACTTCAATATGCTCTCTATATACAATATTTTTCCACTTAAAATATCCACTAGGTTGAGTGAGGACATCGATAGCCAGATTTTCACATATATTTGAAAAAAAGAGAGGTAAGAAAACTCAAAAATATCTGTAAAAGAAACAAACACATTTGGAGCACGTGCCTTACTACCAATCAAGGTTTTTGAAAGCCAGACTCATCAAGACAGTGGTATAGGCACAGTGAGAGACAAAGTAGCTCACAGGAAAAGACCAGAGGCCCATAATCATACTTAGCATTTATATCCACATGGTGTCTTACAGAGGGGACACACACATCAGTGAGGAGAGAAAATGTAATTTAGGATTAGCATACTTGGTGATTAACTGGTTTAAAAAAAATGTGTAATTGTTAAATTAAAAATATAAATAACAAATTTTTCAATAGCAAACTCAAATGCTATGAACTTAGGGGTAAATTTCACCAAAGATAAAAAGTATTTTATAGTCCCCTCACTATTGTAAGAAATTTAACCTACCCTGGGAGATGAATACTATGGTTTCACCATTTTAAAGGTGAACTTATTCATAAGAGAAAAAAAATAAAAGCAAATAAATGGAGATTTATACTGCAAATATCAATAGGAAAAGTTGAAATCATAAAAAATATCAATTCCACCCAAATTGTCAATGTTAATTCCAGCCAAAACCTCAACCAGATTTCCTAATGTCCTTCATAAGCTGATGCAAAATTAATATGAAAAAATAAACCTCACACCAAAGAAAACCAAAGACACTCTCATGCAGTAATAACATAAGAGAAATTATCTACTGGACCTTACAATTTATGATGAAAATAAATTAATTAAGATAGCTTTGTATTGGAAAAAATAGAGACAAGCCAATGAAACTGAAGAAACAAAATGGAAACAGATACCTATGAGAAAGTGGAAACAGCAGGGCAATTTAGAAAGATGACTATTTTAAAAGCTGTCATGGCCGGGCGCTGTGGCTCACGCCTGTAATCCCAGCACTTTGAGAGGTGGAGGCGGGCAGATCACTCGGGCGGATCACTTGAGGTCAGGAATTCAAGACCAGCCTGACCAACATGGTGAAACCCCCTCTCTACTAAAAATACAAAAAACTAGCCTGGCGTGGTGGTGGGCACCTGTAATCCCAGCTACTTGGGAGGCAGAGGCAGGAGAATCGCTTGAACCCGGGAGGCGGAGGTTGCAGTGAGCCAAGATCACACCATTGCACTCCAGCCTGGGTGACAGAGCGAGACTCCATCTCAAAATAAATAAATAAATAAATAAATAAATAAATAAAATAAAAGCAGTTAAACCATTCAGATATCCATATTGAAACATTGTGGATCCGTACTTACGCCTTACACTAAATTCATCCCAGTGGGATTAAAAACTTAAATTTGAAACAAAATATGTGAGTCATTTAGTAAAAAGAATAAGAGAATTTTCTTATGAATACTGTCTGAAACAAAACCACAATAGGAAAAGATAATTTAACTCTTCCACATTGAAAAGAAAAAAATCTCTCTTTTTTTTTTTTTTTGAATGGAGTCTTGCTCTGTCACCCAGGCTGGACTGCAGTGGCGCAATCTCGGTTCACTGCAAGCCCAGACCCCGGGTTCACGCCATTCTCCTGCCTCAGCCTCTTGAGTAGCTGGTACTACAGGTGCCTGCCACCACGCCCGGCTAATTTTTTGTATTTTTATTAGAGAGGGGGTTTCACCGTGTTAGCCAGGATGGTCTCGATCTCCTGACCTAGTGATCCGCCCGCCTTGGCCTTCCAAAATGCTGGGATTACAGGCGTGAGCCACCGCGGCCGGCCAGAAAGAAAAAACATCTTAAAGAAAACCTAACAAAGTGACAACCAATCTTCAGACTGGTAGAAAGTATTTGCAATGTACAGATGCCACAAAAAATACCCAGAAAATATAAGGAATTTCTAGTATCAGGAGTATATTTTATTGATTGCCTTGAATGCTCAATAAGATCAAGAAACATGGAAATTTATAAAACTAAATGAAAATTCATTCTATATTCTTGAATACTATAATTCACTGAATTATGTATATAGTAATATGTAAGATAATAATATATAACTCATGATTTTAAGCTTTTCCATTTTCTTTTCTTTTTTTTTTTAAGACGGAGTCTCACTCTGTCGCCCAGGCTGGAGTGCTGTGGCACGATCTCGGCTCACTGCAAGCTCCGCCTCCCGGGTTCACGCCATTCTCCTGCCTCAGCCTCCCCAGTAGCTGGGACTACAGGCACCAGCCACCGCGCCCAGCTAATTTTTTTTATTTTTAGTAGAGACGGGGTTTCACCATATTAGCCAGGATGGTCTGGATCTCCTGACCTCGTGATCCGCCTGCCTTTGCCTCCCAAAGTGCTGGGATTACAGGCGTGAGCCACTGCACCCAGCCTCCATTTTCAAATTGATAGATATATTCAGTGCATTTCCCCTAAAAATTTTCACTGTGTTTTTTGAGTATTTAAACAACTATTAATAATTCTTAACTTCGTACAAAAAAAGTCAAAGGCCGAAGAATTGAAAACAAATCTGTAGAATAAAAATAATAATAATAAGATGTAAGGAACTGCCGTACACCAATCAAAATCCATAATGTTAGCCTTCAAGACAGCATGGGGCAAATCTCCTGATAAATGAAATAGCCCAAAGGAAAAAAAATAGAAGTCCAGTAAATGACTCAGAATTGAGTCAATAGACATTTATGGCAGATGGAGCACTGTACATCAGTGGGGAGACATAAATACATAGGACTGGGGCACTTGCTCTTCCAAATTCTTCATGACTCCCTCTTCATTGAGCCCTGAGGGAAATGGAGAGAGAGAAAAGTAAGTCGGGGACAGGTGAGACCATTCACTCCCAGATGCACCTCTATTTCCACATCTTCAACTTAGCCTCATTAAGTGATTTTGTAAACAAGCTGAGAATACCAGATGGCTATGGTTCACTTTGTTTGTGTATCTCCCCAATGCCAATGTGACTGCTTCAATAGACTATGTCACAGATATGTTGCTTGTAATATTTGACATGATGTGAGTTTTTATTCAAGTTAAGCAACAGCCATGAGAGACAAGCACAGAGAGCCTATCCATGTGTTTCTGACAAAGGTTCCTTTTTTATTGTTTTATGTTTATCAAGAGATTTCTTTTGACACATGTACTTTTTAAAATTTTTTATTTTGAAATAATTGTAGATTCACATGAAGTTGCAAAAAGAAAAAAAGGTACGCAAAGGTCCCTTATACATTTCACCAAGCGTAGGATTATTGTTGAGAATATGATAAATCGCACATTCAGCCTACATAGATAAATGTTCTATGGTTCTACTAGATATATGGTTCTACATAGATAAACGTTCCCAGGTCTCTGGGGCTCTCTCTTACAGAGAGGCTAAGCATGTTTTCTAACACAATATGCTAGACATAGCTGCAGTATTAGTCATTCAATTATTAAACTTAATAAAACTTCAAAAAATATTGTATGGCATATGTGTGTATGTCTGTGTGTGTATACACACAGACACACACACACACAAATGCAAAAGACTAATACTCTATTGTACCAAATTATGTTTAAAGAATTCAAGAGAAGCAACCCCTGTGTAGACAACAGATGCCCAGATTGTTCGTATGTTTCAAGGATATGTGAAGGAGTTTGACGACTGCTTTCTCATTTGGAGAGAAATTAAGCTGACTCTTGCAGTGACTTATTCTACATTAGTTTGTAGATCTCGGTGATTCAATTGCCTCTTCTGACAATTTTCTTTCTCAGAGAACCCCAATAATCATTTCTCATGTGCTTAACTATCCCCAGGATCTTCCTATATAAAAGCCATTCTCTATCAAATCTTTATACTTAAGGAAAGTTTGAGTACAGAGTACAGTCCAGTGGGGCCAGTGTTTTCCAGCCAGGTCCTATGGCCAAAACTTTCTACAATGGCATCTTAAATGCAATTAGCAGAAGGCTGATACCTCCAGAAGTAACAACCAAGTTGCTCACTTAGAGTTTCAGGAAGTCAGAGTTCATTTGTGGGCAAAGGATGCAGGTTACAGATATTGCTCTTATAGGTTAAGAAAAGGAAAGAAAACCCAGCAAAGTCAACCATCTTTCTGGAAATGTTGAAAAAATGTGAGAAAATTCCATTTTTTTTTTGAGACGGAGTCTTGCTCTGTTGTATTTTTTTAGTAGAGACGGCATTTCACCATGTTGACCAGAATGGTCTCGATCTCTTGACCTTGTGATCTGGTTGCCTCGGCCTCCCAAAGTTCTGGGATTACAGGCGTGAGCCACCATGCCGGGCTGAAAATTCCATTAAATTTTAACTGTAGAGCTTCTTGCTCACCCCTAGGAGTTAGAAACTTGAGAAGGCAAGCTCATCCAGAGTTGGACAAGTCCCAGCTTTAAATAGAGTCTCAGGGAATGAGGTCAAGTCTTTGCTGGGGGTCTTGTAGATGCTACACATGCAGGTCACTATTCTGAGTGGAGGGTTTTCTAGCACCTAGTGTTTGTGACACTCTTGTTGGAAACAAGTTGGAAAAAAGAGATCTCTGTAAAATTTGAGGGAGCTAAGTCTAAATCTGACTCATAAACCCATCAGAAGCAGCTACCTTGTGAATTTAAACAGCTCTGGGAGAAATTGTGTGAATGGAAAAATAATTCCAAGTTGTTGAGTCTAAGATCACTGTCTTGAGCCCTGGGTTAGATATAGACATACAAGGTAAATGATGTAGAAAGAGAAACTCTAAGCTGGTCATGGTGGTTCACGCCTGTAATCCCAGCACTTTGGGAGGCCAAGGCGGGTGGATCACCTGATCGTCAGGAGTTCAAGACCAGCCTGACCAATATGGTGAAACCCCGTCTCTATTAAAATTACAAAAATTAGCTGGGCGTGGTGGCGGGCACTTGTAGTCCCAGCTACTCAGGAGGCTGAGGCAGGAGAATCGCTTGAACCCGGGAGGCGAAGGTTGCAGCGAGCCGAGATCATGCCACTGCACTCCAGCCCGGGCAACAGAGCAAGACTCCGTCTAAAAAAAAAAAAAAAAGAAAGAAAAGAAAAAGAAAAAGCAACTCTAAACTGTTAATATCTGAGTTAGCTCAATTCTTCAAGGTTCAGGAAGATTTAAAGAATCACTTTTACTTTAAGGGTTAAAATAAAAAGATTCCTGAAGAGTTTTGTCATAATCCCATTAGTTACCTGCATAGTTTCCTAGCTTAAGACCTGGGGGAAAAATTGACTCAAATCTAAACTATCTTTAGATTAGGAGCATTAAAGAACCTGCATCCTGGAAGAAACATTCCAGACACAGTTGGACAAATAATTCAATAGCTGTCTACAAGGCTGTCTATACATTTTAGGGAATCCTTCAGTGCTTAAGAGACAAATCTCACTTATTCCTCAGTCCCTTAACAGCTTTAAGAAGAATTCTCAATTTCCCCGTGCCTGCAATGGCTCTGTGTGGTAGCACAGGTAATGCCTAGGAGGAGAAGCTTGGAAAATTGTAAGACCTGGGGGTTATAAGCTTCATAATTTGTTCAGACATCCCATGATATTTTCCTGCTGCTCCAATCAAGGTTAGTGTTCAGGGTCGGACTGCAGGATCATTTCTGAGATCAAAAGGCAAAGCAAGGGAAGGGCAATGCAGTTGCAATTTGTGCAAGAAGTTAAAAAGAGAAATTTATTCTCAAGCAAAATGATTTTTCATTTATTCATTTTTACTGAGTTTAAACAGATTTTTGGGCAAGTTTAGCTATCACAGCTGTGATTGTCACACCCCTCTGTCTCTGTCTGAGGCCCTGGAAAAGAAAGTAACAGAGTGGGTTTAACATGTATTGCCAATTTCTCATTCCTAAGAGAAGTGAGGTATAATTGGCATACAATTAACTGCACATATTTAAGGTGTACAGTGTGATAGTATTTGACACGTGTAAAACACAGGAAACTATCATTAAAAGTCAAGAATTAATATCTGTCACCCCAAAATGTTCCTGTTGCCCTTTGGCAAGCCTTCTCTTCCACTCCTCTCTATCAAACCAGGGTAGAAGGGTCTTACATGTTTTGTTGCTCAAATTTATCCCTAAGTATTTGATATTTTGCTGCTATTGTAAATCTCCTGGCTATTTTTTTTTTTTTTTGTATTTTTAGTAGAGATGGGGTTTCACCGTGTTAGCCAGGATGGTCTCCATCTCCTGACCTCGTGATCTGTCCGCGTTGGCCTCCCAAAGTGCTGGGATTACAGGTATGAGCCACCGTGTATGGCCTATAAATCATAATTTTAAAATACAATTTCTGATTGTTCATTGCTAGTATAAGGAAGAAACTTTGTATAGTCGTATTCTATCCTTCAACTTTGCTTAACTAATTTGTTAGTACTAGTAGCTTTATCAGCTTATTAGTTAATAATAATTAGTAGCATATTAATTTCTGATAGTTTTTGTGTAGATTCCACAAAACTTCCTGTCATGTTACCTGAGAAACAGAAACAATTTTGCTTTTTTTCCAATTCACCTGTGTGTTTTTCTCTTTTCTTTTGGCTTTATTGCCTCAATTACAATGTTGAATAGAAGTGGTAAGAGCTGACATTCTCATCTCATTCCTGATCTCAGGAGGAAAGCATTCAGTCTTTCAACATTAAGCGTGACATTACCTGTAGGTTTTTTGTAAATTACCTTAATCAGGTTGAAGAAGTTTCCTGCTAGTGCCAGTTTGCTGAGAGTTATTTTCTTCTGATTATACTGAGATAAGATCTTTTCTTTTTTAATTTCTCAATTTGGTGAACTACAGTGCTTGATTTTTAAAATTTTTATTTTATTGTGGTAAGAATATAACATGAGATCTACTCTCTTATGAGATTTTTCAGTATACAATAAAATATGGTTAACTATAGGCACAGTATTATACAGCAGATCTCTAAAGCTAATTCATCTTGCATTAATGAAATTTTATACCCATTGATAAGCAACTCCTCACTTCCCTTTCACTCCCGTCCTGGCAACCACCATTCCACTCTTTGATTCTATGAATTGTACTGTTAATATTTTCACTATCTAAGATAAGCAAATTATACGGGATTTGTCTTTCTGTGATTGGCTTATTTCACTTGGAATAATATCCTCAAGGTTTATTCATGTTGTGCATATTGCAGAATTTCTTTTTTAATGCTGAATAGTATTTCCATTGTATGTCTATACCACATTTGCTTTATGAATTTATCTGTTAATGGACATTAATGTTGTTTCTACATCTGAGCTATTACGAATAGTGTTGCAATGAACATAGGAATGGTAATATTACTTCAAGATCCTGATTTCAATTCTTTTGGATAAATACCCAGAAGTGGGATTATTGGAGCAATATAATGGCTCTGTTTTTAACTTTTTGAAGAACGTTCATTCTTTTTTCCCATAGTAAATGCACCATCGTGTATTCCCACAAACAATGTACAAGGGTTCCCTTTCTCCACATCCCTTCCAACACTTGTCTTTTTTTTAAATAATCATCATCCTGACAGGTGTGAGGAAATATTTCATTGTGGTTTTGATTTACATTTTTCTGATGATTAGTAACACTGAGCATCTTTTCATATACCTGTGGGTATTTCTCTTCTTTGGAAAAATGTCTATTCAAGTCCTTTGCTCATTTAAAAAATCAGATTGTTAGTTTTATCTACTGAGTTGTTTGAGTTCCTGACGTATTTTGGAAATTAATCTTTTTCCCAGTGTTTTCTTATAGAAGCTTTACAGTCTCACCTTGCATTTAAGTTTTTAATCCATTTTGATTTAATTTTTGTGTATGGTATAAGACAAGGATCCAGTTCTACTCTTGCATGGAGATATCCAGTTTTCCCAGCAGCATTTGTTGAAGAGACTGTCCTTTCCTGATTGTGCATTCTTGGCACCCATGTCAAAGATCAATTGACTGTATATACACAGATCTATTTCTTGGCTCCCTATTCTAACCCATTGGTCTTATATGTCTATCTTTATGCTGTTAACATACTATTTTAATTACTATAGCTTTGCAATATATTTTGAAATTAGGAAGTGATGCCTCTAGCCTTGCTCTTTCTTCTCAAGATTGTTTTGGCTATTCAGGGTACTTTCCAATTATATATGAATCTTAGAATTGTTTTTTCTCTGTCTGTAAAAATGCTATTAGGATTTTTATGGAGATTGAATTGAATTTGTAGATTGCTTTGAGTAGTGTAGATATTAAGACTTCCAATCTATGAACACAGTATGTCTTTCCATTTACTTGTGTCCTTTTAAATTTCTTAAATTAATGTTTTGCAGTTTGCAGTGTGTCTTTTACCTCCTTGGCTAAGTTTATTCCTAAGTATTTGATTATTTTTGATAATGTTGTAAATGGGATTGGTTTCCTAATTTTCTTTCAGAGAGTTTATTTTTGGTGTATAGAAATGCAATTGATTTTTACATTTTTTTATCATACTACTTTGCTGAATTGACTTATTAATTCTAACAGTTTTTTGTGGAGTCTTTAGAGTTTTCTGTATATTAGATCATGTTTAAACAGGTACAATTTCACTTCTTCCTTCTGAACTTGATGTATTTTTTGTATTGATCTTGAATAATCATTCTGGGCAGGACTTTCATTACTATGTTGAATAGAAGTGGTAAAAGTGAACATCCCTGTCTTTTTCCTGATATTAGAGGAAAAGCTTTTAGTTTTTTACTTCTGAGTGTGGTGTTAGCTGTGGGATTTTCATATCTGGCCTCAATATGTTGAGGTAACTTCCATCTCTTCCTAGTTTGTTGAGAGTTTCTAACATGAAAAAGTGTCAAATTTTATCAAATTATTATTTTTAAATCTATTGAGATGATTTTGTGATTTTTATCTTTTATTCTATTAACTGTATCCCATTAATTGATTTTCATATGTTGAACCATCCCTGCAACTCAGGGATAAATCCCACTTGGTCATGGTGTATGATCCTATTAATTTGCTGTTAAATTTGGTTTGCAATTATTTTGTTGAGGATCCTTGCATCTATATTAATCAGGGACATAGACCTGTAGTTTTCTTTTTGTAGTGTCTTTTGTCTGTCTTTAAATTCACATAATGCTGGCCTCGTGAAATGAGTTTGGAAATATTCTCTCCTGTTTGATTTTTTGGGAAGGGTTTTAAAATGATTGGTATTAATTCTTCTTTAAATATTTGGTAGACTTCAGCAGCAGAGTCATCAGGTCGGAGGCTTTGCTTTGTTGGGAGTTTTTTTTATTACTGATTTGATCTCCTTATTCACTGTTTGCCTGTTTAAATTTCCTATTTCTTTCATGATGCACTCTTGGTAGGTTGTATGTTTCTAGGAATTTATCCATTTCTTCTAGGTTATTGAGTTTATTGGTGTATTTTTTCTCACAGCAGTTTCTTATGATCTTTGGATTTCTGTGACATCAGTTGCAATGTCTTTTTCATTTCTGTTTTTGTCTTCCTTCTTCTTAGTACACTGTTTGATGTTTAAATGTTAAAACAATTTCACATTCTTAGGATAAGCCCCCTTGGTCCTTGTGTGTTATTCTGTTTACATAATGCTGTAATTTATTTGCTAAAATTGCATTTTTTCAACTAATGTCATGAGAGATATTGTCTCTAGTTTACTTTTCTTGTAATGTCTTTGACATTTATATCAGGGTAATGCTAATTTCATAGAATGAGGTAGGAAATAATTACCTTCTCAAAAATTTTCTATGAAGAGTTCATGTAAAATTAGTATTACTTCTTAAATATTTGATATAATTCACTAGTGAAGCCACCTGGGCCTGGCATTTTCTTTATGTGAAGGTTTTGTAACTACAAATTGTATTTCTCTAACAGATGTAGGGCTATTCAGATTATGTATTTCTTCTTGAGTGAGATATGGTAGTTTGTGTATTTCAAGGAGTTCATCTATTTTATGACAATTGTGGAAATCATTGACATGAAGTTATATATAATATTTTATTATGATTCTTTTAACATCTAAAACCTAAAATCATGTCACCTTTCTCATTCCTGCTACTGGCATTTTTTTCTTCTAATGCCTGATTAATCTGGCTAGATTTATCAGCTTTCTGTTGATTTCTGTTAACATGGTATGTATTTTTTAACCTATTTGTTTCTTTATATATAAAGTGTATTTCTTGTAAGCAGCATAGAATCGGGTCTTCCTAAAAAATTTATATGACAATTCCTGACTTTTAATTGAGGTGTTTAAACCATTTACATTTAATATGATTATTTATATAGTTAGGTTTGAGTCGATAATTTTGATTTTTGTTCTTTTTTCTTCTTTTCTTCCATTTGGATCAAACATTTTTATTACATTTCATCTTCCTTTCTGGTTCATTAACTATGTAAATCAAAAGTAAAATTCTAAGCCCATCAACCAATTGAATGGACCCCTCTTCTCAAACAAGGGCATTCCTAAGTTAACCTGGAAAATCAGTTCAGGCCATGATGGGTAGTAGAGGTCAGACATGCCACACTATACTCACGTTCCTTTGGGATTCAGGCACAGCTGACCAGCATTTAACATTAAAACAGAGACCTTACGACTGATGAAACAGACTCTTGGTAGCCATTAAGATACCAACATGACAGACAGCAAGCCCTAAAAGAAATAAAAATATTTTACCTCAAAAGATATTTCTTTTCTCTCCTTCTTCTTCTTTTTCTTTGAGATGAAGTCTCCCTCTGTTGCCCAGGCTGGAGTGCAGTGGCATGATCTTGGCTCAGTCACCACAACCTCCGTCTCCCAGGTTCAAGTGATTCTCCTGCCTCAGCCTCTTGAATAGCTGGGATTACAGGTGCCCGCCACCATTCCTGGCTTATTTTTTTGTATTTTTTGTAGAGACGTGGTTTTGCCATGTTGGCCAGGTTGGTCTCAAACTCCTGACCTCAAGTGATCTACCTGCTTCAGCCTCCCAAAGTGCTAGGATTATAGGCATGAGCTAACGTGCCTGGCTAAATTTCTTAAACATATTTTGAAATGGCCCTGCAAAGCTGTCTCTTGTGGGAAAATCTACCTTCTACAGAAAATCTCCTTTTATTTCCAGGTCTTCTTCCTGATCCGGGAGAGAATTAACTGAGTTTGGTACCTTTTTAAGTCTGATAAAAAACATTTACAATCTATTCTTTCTGAAGCCTGCTACCT